>NC_000003.12:60616060-60919090 GCF_000001405.40 Homo sapiens
TCACTTGTCATTAGGTCACAATTCTTGGGACTACCATTGTCTAGGTTCTTCTATTCCACATGCTTTGTTTCTGTGCATGTTGAGTCCAACATGTGTGTATATTTTAGGTAGTGTCACCTGTTTGGATATCCACAAGACCTATTTACACAACACCTGTTACAAAAACTCACCCCAGATGTTTTCTTGTTTGTTCAGTTTAATTTATTATACAAATCTTCACATTTGAAAATATAAGCAAAAGTGATTCTAAGCCACTACAGGAAATTCACAAAAGCAACACCTGGTGTCAACATATTTCATCACATTTTAATGATTATGATGTGCACAGGTGTGCTGAAAGTTTCTCCTCCATACTCTTTGATTCTTTTTTAAAATTTTTTTAATTATACAAGTAATACACTTCTAGAACTAATAAGCAATCATAGCAAGCTTGTGGGACAAAAGTTAATATACAAAGTCAATTGTCTTCTTATTGCTAGCAATGAACAATTGGGACTTGAAATTAAAAACACAATACCATTTACATTAATGCCAAAAATTTAAATACTTAGGTATAAATCAAACGTGAAAGATCTATATAAGGAAAACTATAAAACTTTGCTGAAAGAAATACAAAAGATCTAAGAAAAAGGAAAGCTATCCACATACGCAGACAGGAAATCTCAATATTGTCAAGATATCAGTTCTTCTCAACTTGACCTATACATTCAATGCAACCTCAGTTTTAAAAATCCCAAGCCAAAGTAAAAGCCATCTACGGCACACAGCATTCCGAAAGGTTTGGGCTACCTGACTATTATGGCACCAAGAAATCTCTGGTATATGAGAACTTTCACTTTAATTCAAAATGTTGGATGACCTGATTTTCAGCAGAAATGCTCTTCAAATCAGTTTCACTTAGGCTTTTTGGTGTGAAGTGAAACGATGCAGACAATGAGCTTTGGAGAATGAGGAACCACTGAATAACTTACTATGGAAGTGGATACTGACATGGCAAAGAAACGACAGCCTGGAGTTTTTAACAGAATGTTCCCAATGAGCAGGACCTGAAGATGTTTCTTCGTTCCAAAGGAGCTAGCAAAGAAGTGATTGTTAGCATCATATCAAAATAACTAAAAGCTATAACACACACTCTTGAACGTCTTTCAAAACAATGGGATCTATGAAGGATTATGATATCAGATCTTGATACTGTAAATATTTTGGGCCATTCTCCTGAATGCTTTCTTTTGTCCCATGAAAACCTAAACTTAGGGATTCTATGAGTTCCTCTACTCAGCTGGATTTACCTGTAAATGCCTTTGTTGATTGTTGACCAATGTCCCTTGTACCTTTTCCAATAGTCTCGATCTGAATAAACAGATGGTTAAAGTTTTGCAGGAAGTATATTTTTCATTGGGTCACAATGATCCCACAGATTTTGTAAGAAAGATGATTTTTTAAAACCCTTTCATCTTAATTCAGGGTACCAAGCAGGTAAAAACTAACATTGAATTTTTACAGGCAAGTTTCAATTTGAACAGTAGGGAATTGCTATTTTAATATGTGGTCCAGGAACCAAAATCCTAGACCTTTCCAATGACTATGCCAAAACAAACTACACAAATATCAAACAGAAGCTGTTTTCTCTCTGAGGTACTGAAGAAGAGGTACAAAAGCTTGCCTTAAGTTATCCAGATGTGGGGAAAAAAAGTTATCCAGATGTGATCTTTTGGCAGAGAAAAAGTTTAGTGAGAAGAATATTTTAGCTTGGTGCAAAAGTAACTATGGTTTTTGGGCAAAAACCATAGTTACTTTTGCACCAATCTAATGGATTGTCTCATAGAATAATAAATTAGCCTTCTGTGAAAGTAATTTGTGATAACTGAAAAATCCTTGGGTTCTGGATTCAAGCATAAGTACTTTATAAAGTCAAATCAAAGAATTAGTAAATGCTGGCTGTAACTTGAGGACATCAAGCATCACTCTTCTACTCTGGAGTTAAAAAAAAAAGATACAAAGTAAATTTAAAAAGTTAAGCAGAACACTGGGGAATTTTTGAAAGCCAGTCATATAATGTAGTGGTATCTTTTCATTTTGAATTTGGGCCTTTCAAAAAGGAGGGGTATGATTTCTTAACCACAGATATATATATGTAATAATTCTTTGGCTATTTTGTTTTACAGGTTTATGGAAACTCATGGTTGATATGCTCAGGTGCAGTCCTCCTAGCTACCTATTTTCCAGTTTGAATTACTCCAACATACCATTATTTGATACAGGCTGTGCTGCTGTAGAGATGGTAGTGCCATGGTGATTTGCTACACAGATCATCCCATCACCTAGGTATTAAGCCCAGCATCCATTAGTTACTCTTCCTTATGCTCTCCCTCCCAGCAGCACCCCTCCAACAGGCCCCAGTGTGTGTTGTTCCCTCCATGTGTTGACGTGTGCTCATTATTCAGCTCCCTGTTGTAAGTGAGAACATGTGGTGCTTGGTTTTCCGTTCCTGCGTTAATTTGCTGAGGGCAAAACCTGATTACTTTGAAAACAAGTTCTACTGTGGCAGGCAGAATCATGGCCACACCTAAAGATGTCAACGTTTTAATTTGAAGAAGCTGCGAATATGTTATGCAAAAAGATTTTGCAAATGTGATTAAGTTGAAATTTGATTAAGTTAAGGGCCTTGAGATGACCTTGAATCATCTGAGTGGACCTAATATAATGCTAAGGGTCCTTAAAAGTGGAAGAAGGAGGCAAAAGAGGTCAGAATGATGCTGTATAAGACAGACTTGACCACTTTGAAGGAGGTGAAAAGGAGGCTTTGAAGAAGGAAGGGACCATAAGCCAAAGAATGCAGGGGGCCACAAAGAAAACTGAAAAGCCAATGAAACAGAATCTCCCCTAAAGGCCCCAAAAAGGAATGCAGTACGGCTGGTACCTTTTCAGCCCAGTGGGCCCAGTATCATACTTCTGTCCTACAGAACCACAGGATGATAAATTTGTGTTGTTTGAAGCCACTGAGTCTGATAATTTGTTACAGCAGCAAAGATTAACATAGCAACTAAGTAGATGATTTGTTGCATTATAGGTGGTCACAAAATACAATCCTTTAGTATCATGTATTTTTTCCTCTTACAAGAGTAATTACATTTAAAAAAGCTATCTACTGTTCTAGAATCACTGTCGTTGTTTACAATAAAGTCCTTTAAATGTGCGCATAAAAAACTAAATGTGAATAAAATGTAAATAAAGGAATATTTTTGCCTAATAAATACAAAGAAAATGAAAATCCCAGCAACCTATTTTTTGTGGATATTAACAAACTGATTCTAAAGTGTACATGGAAAAGCAAAAGATTCAGAATATGCAAGACAATATTAAATGAGAAGAACAAAGTAGGAGCACTGACACTATCCGACTTCAAGAGTTAGAACAAAGCTATAGTAATTGAAACAGTGTGGTATTGGCAAAAGCCACCAAATACATCAGTGAAACAGAAGAGAAAGCCCACATAGTCTTTTCCACAAATGGATCTAGAACAAATGGATACCCACATGCAAAAAAAAAAAAAAAAAAAAAAAAAAAGAATCTAGACAAAGACCTCACACTATTCACAAAAATTGACTCAAAATGAATCACAGACCTAAATGTAAAATGTAAAACCATAGAACTCCTAGAAAATAATGTACAAGAAAGTTCAGCTGATCTTGAGCATGAAAGTGACTTTTTATATATAATACCAAAGGTGCAATCCATGAAAGAAATCATTGATAAGCTAGACTTCATTAAAATTGAAAACGTCTCCTTGATATAAGACACTGTCAACTGAGAAAGACAAGCCAAAGGCTAGGAGAAAATATTTGCAAGAAACATGTATGATAAAGAACTGTTATCCAAAATATTTTTTTTAAAGTCTTAAAACTCATTAAGAAAAATAATTTAAAAATGGGCAAAAGACTTGAACAGACACCTCACCAAAAAATACATACAGATGGAATACAGGCATATGAAAAGAAGCTCAACATATATTATTAGGATATTGCAAATTAAAACAATGATACCACTATGTACCTATTAGAATTGTGAAAATTCAAAACAATGACAACACCAAGTGCTAGTGAGGATGTGGGGCAACAGAACTCACATTCACTGTGGATGGGAATGCAAAATGATATAGCAACCTCAGAAGACCCGCAATATTTTACAAAATGAAACGTACTCTTACCATACAATCCAGCAATTATAATCCTTGGTATTTACCCAAAGTAGTTGAAAACTTATTTCTACACAAAAACCTGCACACAGATGTTTATAGTAACTTTATTCAAAATTGCCAAAACCTGGAAGTAATTGAGATGACCTTCAGTAAGTGAATGAATAAACAAATCATGGTATACGCAGACCATTATTCAGCCATACTAAAAAGAAATGAGCTGTTGAGCCACAGAAAGACATGGAGTTACTTTACAGGCATACTGCGAAGCAAAAGGAGCCAAATTTTAAGGGCTGCATACTGTGTGATTCCAGTGATGGGATACATTGGAAAAAAAAAAAAAACTATGAAGAGAATACAAAGATCAATGGTTTGCAAGGGCTCAGAGGAGGGGGAGGGAAAGAGGGATGGCTAGATAGAACATAGGAGATTTTTTAGGGCAGTAAAACTATTCTGAATGATATAACAGTGGTTGCATGTCATTCAACAGCTGTCAAAACCCATAGGATGTACAATGCAGACTGAACCATAACATAACCTACAGACTTGGTTAATAATAGTGTATCAAAATTGGCTCATCAAATGTAAAAAATATACCACACTAATGCAAGTGTTAATTATAAAGGAAACTGGGGGAGTGGTGGGGCGTAGGCAAACTCTGCACTCGTTGCTCAATTTTTCTGTAAACCTAAAATTGTTAAAAAAGAAATAGTGTATTGATTTCTTAAAACCAAATAATATATAAATAGCCTTATAAAAAATGTCAAACCACTCAGAAGTATCCAGACTAAAACATTTAACTCCCAAGTGATGTTTTCACACCAATCCTTTCATTCCTGGGGCAAATGCTCCTCACAGTTTGGTATTTATGCTTCCAGTCTACTTTTGATTTTTTTTTTTTTTTTTTTTTTGAGATGGAGTCTCACATGGTCACCTAGGCTGGAGTGCAGTGGCACTATCTGGACACACCACAACCTCCACCTCCTGGATTCAAGCAATTCTCCTACCTCAGCCTCCCAAGTACCTGTGATTACAGGTGCCCACGACTACGCCTAGCTACTTTTTTGTATTTTTAGTAGAGACAGGGTTTACATTACAATGGCCAGGCTGGTCTCGAACTCCTGACCTCATGATCTGCCCGCCTCAGCCTCCCAAAGTGCTGGGATTACAGCCACTAGCTACCGTGCCCAGCCCCAGTCTAATTTTTAATATGCTTACTATTACACTTATTTCCAAAAAGTGTTCAAACATAAATGGAACATTTTATAAATATCATTCTGAAATTTGGACAGTTCCTTAAAGCAACTACTAGTGACTGCACTGAGCATTATGTGAAAAAAAAAAGACTCCAGAAAATACATGTGCAAGGTGGTCACTATACAAACACACTTTTGGCTTTCCAGAGCATTGTACAGCAATAGTCACATAGTATGGGCTCTAGAAATACTTGAGTGGTTGGCAATTAAGTCAAGATGAAAAGGAATCAGGCCATTAAAATATAGCTACAACTGGGAGGCTGAGGAGGGAAGATCGCTGGAGCACAGGAGATTAAGGGTACAGGGAGCTATGATCATGCCACTGGACTCCAGCCTGGGTGACAGAGTGAGACACTCTCCAAAAAAAAAAAAAAATACAATTACATGGTCTGACAGTTAAATTCTAGAGAGAATCAACCTTTCATCCACACAGCTAGTATGCCAATGAGGTGTCCACTGTGTAGGGAGAATTAACCCTCTGCATTTTTCTTAAGGATTTGAGCTCTCTTAGCTACACAAACATAGGAATTGTTATCCCCATCTTAGAGGCAAGAAAGCTGGGAGTCAGGGAGCTTAAATAACTTGCTTGAGATGACTCAATGATTGGTGATGGAGTCAAGATTGAAAACCCGGGCAAGCCTCCATGTCTCACGGTGCCCCTAAAAGTACTTTCTACAGGTAACAAGCACCCAAGTGGTCTTTTCCTCATCAGTCCCAAATTGGCCGAAAAGATCATCTGTGACCAACTGGAACAGGATTATATCCATATCTCAATTAAAACCATGTTTCCATTTGCCCCTTCCTTAAAGCAAATCACAGTTCTTTATGTGGATTTTTTGAAACGTACAAATCTAGATTTTTTTTTTTAACACATTCTGGTGCTCAGTTGCTTAGGAAACTGCTTTTGTCATTAGGTGGGAAGGACTAACACACTTAAGAGAGAGAAAGGCAAAGGGGGAATATATAGTAAACCCAGTGCTGATGTGAATTGTATCCACAGGGACTATAACAAAACAATCAGAACTCAAAGGGAAAAGGAGCTTTTGAGTGGGTTGTGAAATAAGCTATTAAGTCATGCAAATAAATCCAATGTCAACACTTCAGCCTGGGCTGATTGGATGCATGCATTAAAACTCATACTTCATAAGAATTTAAGGCCTCTGGTGTTCTCAGTTTTTCTTCTTTTTCACTTTGGGGTTTTTTGGTTGGAGGGAGGCATTTCTAGAGAAAGCATGCCTGCTTTACGCTAGAATCGCTCATGAAGTAGAGAATTTGTGCATCAAGGTTTGAAACAATACATTATTCCAAGACCTTGTCCTTCATCAGTAGTTTCAGCCTTTGCCACATTTCTGAGCTCCGTGCTCAAAAGAAGCATCTCTTCTCCCAGGCTCCTGCACCCAACCAGGCAGGGATCCAACATTCAGATAATTCAGACGGTACACACATTCATGACTTCAAGATGCTGCTGTTGACAGTCGTACACCTTAACTTGCAGTGGGTGCAAACATAATCAGCCTTTTCTCCCACGAAGCCCATCTTTAGAAGCACTGTGAGATTTTTGCCTGTCTTGTTCAAGACCATACCTACAGTGCCTAGTGCGGGACCTGGCACACATAGTAGATACGTAACAAGTAATCACTAGTCTGTTACATGAGCAAGAAATAACTTTTTTAATGCAATTGCGTGGCTGATCTATTTGTCACCAAAGTGTAACCTCCCCTGTCCAATATGCCATCACTTTATTTTCCACTGCAAGCACAAGATCTTGCAGCTCAAGAAAGAACTGTGCTACATGGCATGCTCTAAATTCGACATGCCATCTCAATTTAACATGATACTTATGTAAGCCAATAGTCCCACTTTACAGATGAGATATTGGAGCTTTATAGAAATCAAGTAATCTAGCCACAGTCCCAGAGCTAATAAATGATAGGACAAGGATTTATATCCCATCATTTTAGCTGTAAAACATGTTCATTTTTTTCTTTTTAAATCTGTGCTGGGCTGTGTTCTGACCTCAAGTGAAATACTGTGTGTTTGTATCACTCAACTCGCACATACCAAAGTTTAAGTCAAGAGCCTTTATGACTTATAAAAAACAATTGCTTGAGAGGCACTGGGTGATACATAGGCTCAGTTAAAGCAGAAGGAACAGCACTAGCATGTCATATTGGTAAGATACAAATTAAATTGCAGTTAGAAATGGACTGTCATGGTAGTAAAACTATGGGAAGAGCAAGGAAGTCCTCGTTTCGGCGTGTCTTCAGGAACACACCGGTTAACCATCTATTTGCCCAACCCGATTTGGTCTTTAAACTTGCCTGAAGAAGCCAGTTGGAGGGAACAGAAGGCTTCTCTCAAGGTCAATGTCTCCCTCCATACCCCCCACTTCAGGATCTCCTATGCATCAGGCACTGTGCTATACAACGAGTAAAACATAGTGTTTGCTTTTGAAAAATTCTACAATACATGAACAGATAATTATGGCAGAACATGCTAAGTACAATGTTATAGTAATACAGAGAAAAACAGAAAAACTGACTCAGAGCACATTCAAAAGGGCTGTTTAATCCATGCCTAAGTGGAGTAAGGAGGCCAAAAGTTAATGAGGAGAGCATCCCAGAGAGAAGAAATGGTAGAGCCAGTGGTGTGAAGGCAAAAGCCAGTAGGACGTATGCAGAGAAGTCCATGCAGTTCAGTGGTGCCAGAATGCAAAATGAGAAGCAAGGAGTGGTAAGAGACAGCAGGAAAGCTTAGCTTACTTTTTAAGTCAGCCATGCTGAGCAGCTTGGGCTTCAACTTGACAATGATGAACACATATTTGGCAAGATTTGGCAGAGGACAGGTTGGATATGAAGTTTAGAAAAATCCCTACAGCTGGTGTGGATTTGAATGGAATTGGACAGAAGACCAGCCCAAGTTAGGAAGCTGATGGAGAGTCCCAGCAAAATACAGGAATCTGAGCAAGTTTTATAGTTTTATAAATATAGGAACATGAATGAGAATAGGAATGAAGAGAGAGGACTGCTTTGACAATGATTCCAAAAGTAAAATATTCAAGAAGGGTGGGAATGGAGTCTACCAAGAAGAAAAACTGGATAAAGGCAGAATAAAAACTTGGAATAAATAATATTACTGAAATTACTTAGCAATGTTAATAATGTTAAATGTGTCTGTGGTAGGCCTGACCCTCTGGCTGTCCATTATTCCATATGTGGTCTTTTCTGACTGGCTTCTTTCACTTACTGTAATGTTTATAAGGTTCATCCATGTTGTAACATGTATCAGTACTTCATTCCTTTTTTTTACAAGATGATATTGAATTGACAGGATATGCCATGTTTGTCCATTCAGAAATTGATAAGATATTTGGCTTGTTTCTAGTTTTTTTTTTTGTTTGTTTGTTTGTTTGTTTTTGAGACAGTCTTGCCCTGTTGCTCAGGCTGGAGTACAATGGCACAATCTCAGCTCACTGCAATCTCCGCCTCTCAGGCTCAAGCAATCCTCCCACTTCAGCCTCCCAAGTATCTGGGACTACAGGCACATGCCACCATGCCTGGCAAATTTTTGTATTTTTTGTAGAGGTGAGGTTTCACCATGTTGCCCAGACTGGTCTTGAACTTCTGAGCTCAAGTGATCCACTCGCCTCAGCCTCCCAAAATGTTGGGATTACAGGCATGAACGACCACGCCTGGCCTTGTTTCTAGTTTTTAGCAAATTTAATGTTGCTATGAACATTCACGTACAAGCTTTTGAGTGGACATATGTTTTCATTTCTCTTGGGTATATATCTACAGGTGGAATTGCTGAATCATATGGCAATTCGTTTTTCAACCTTTTGGGGAAATGATAGACTGTTTTCCAAAGTGGCTATACCATGTTACATTCTCACCAGCAATGTATGTTCAAGTTCCTCTATGTCTTCTTTTCAATTATAGCCATCCTATGAGGTGATGTGGTATCTCACTATGGTTTTGATTTGTATTTTCTTGATGACTAGTGATGCTGAGTATCTTTTTATGGGCTTATTGGTCATCTGTATATCTTCTTTGGATAAATATCTATTCAGACCTTTTATCCATTTTTTAAATTGGGTTTATACAAATATTTATATATTCTAGATACAAGTCTCTTATCAGATATATGATATGTAAGTATTTTATCCCATTCTGTGGAGTTTCTTTTCAGCTTCTGGATGTTATCCATGGAAACACAAAAGTTTTTAATGCTTGTGTCTTTTTCCATTTGTTGCTTGTGTTGTCTTTTTCCATATGTTGTTAAGACATCATATCTAAAATATTTTGCCTAATCCAAGGCCATTTGTTATGCTTATGTTTCCTTCTAAGAGTTTTATAGTTTTAGCTTTTACATTTGAGGCCAAGATTCATTTTGAGATAATCTTTGTATATGGGGTCAGGTAAGGATCCAAATTCATTCTTTTGCATGTGGAGACCTAGTTGCCCCAGAATCATTTGTTTAAAAGGTTTTTACCATGAATTGTCTTGGCAGCACTTTTGAAAATCAGTTGATAGTAAATGTGAGTTTATTTCTGGAATCTCAGTTCTATGCCATTGATCTTTATTGTTATGTCAGCACTACACTCTCTTGATCACTGTAGAGTTGTCATGAGTTCCGAAACCAGGAAATCCTCCAAGTTCGCACTTTTTTTCAAGACTGTTTCAGCTATTCTCAGGATCCCTTGAATTTCTGTATGATTTTAGGATTATCCTGTCAAGTTTTACAACAATATCTGCTGAGATTTTGATAGGAGTTGCATTGAATCTTTATGGCACTCAACAATTTTTGGCACTTTTAACAATAACTCTTCCAATCCCCAAACATAAAAAGTCTTGCCTTGTATTTAGATATTCTTCAACTTATTTCAAATATACATAAATTCAGAGTTTATATTTTTTGTTGCTTTTAATTTATTCCCAAGTATTTATTCTTTTTGATGCCCTCATAAATGGAATTTTCTCAGTTTCATTTTCTGATTGTCTATCACAAGTGAATAGAGAGAATGAGTTTGTGTATATTGTTCTTGTATCCTAAAAACTTGCTCAACTTGTTTATTTCTGATAGGTTTTTTAGTGGATTTAAGATCTTCTATATATAAGATTATGCCATTTATAATAAAGTTTTTCTTCTTTTCAAATATGAATGCAGTTTCTTTTTCTTGCCTAATTTCCCTGGTTAGAACTGTTAGACAATGTTGAATGGAAATGGCAAGAGGGGATATCTGTGCCTTCTTCCTTATCTTAGGGGAAAACACTCTTTTTTTTTTTTTTTTTTACGTTAAGTATGATATGAGCTGTGAATTTTTAATAATGCTTTTTATCAGGTTGAGAAAGTTTCATACTATTCTATTTCCTTGAGTGTTTTTATCATGAAAGGGTGTTAAATGTTTTTCAAATATTTTTTCTATGTCTATTGATATAATCATGTTGCTTTTATCCTTTATTCTATTGATATGCTATATTACATTTATTAGTTTTCATATGTTAAAATGATCTTGCATTTCTGGGATAAATTCCACATGGCCATGGTACAAAATATGTTGCTGGATCCAGTTTGCTTGTCTTCCACTGAGGATTTTTACATCTGTATTGATAAGATATTGGTCTGTAGTTTCCTTGCATTGTGATGTCTGTCTGTTTTGGTTAACAGGATGCTATTGGCCTCATAGAATGTAGTGATAATTTTTGGAAGAGTTTCTGAAAAACTGATATTAATTTTTTAAATGTTTGGTAGAATTGGCCAGTGAAGTCATCTGAACTTGGACTTTTATTTGTGGGTAGTTTTTTATTATAAAAAATATATATTCAGTCTTTTTACTTTTGATGGGTTATTCAGGCTTTATATTTGTAGAATCAGTTTTGTTTGTATCTGTTTAGGAATTTGTTCATTTCATCCAAGTTATCCAATTCATAGTCATACATTTATTCATTGTTTTCCCTTGTAATCCTTTTTCTTTCTGCAAGGTGAGTAGTAAGGTCCCCTTTTTTAATTTTTGAGATGGAGTCTCGCTCTGCCACCCAGGCTGGAGTGCAGTGACAGGCTGGAGTGCAGTGGCGGGATCTAGGCTCACTGAAACCTCTGCCTCCCAGGTTCAAGCAATTCTTCTGCCTCAGCTTCCCGAGTAGCTGGGACTACAGGCATGTGCCACCACACCCGGCTAATTTTCGTATTTTTAGTAGAGACGGGGTGTCACCATATTGGCCAGGCTAGTCACATACTCCTGACCACGTGATCCGCCCACCTCAGCCTCCCAAAGGGCTGGAATTATAGGCGTGAGCCACTGCGCCTGGCCAGGTCCCACTTTTTATTCCTGATTTTAATAATTTGAGTCTTCTTTCTTTCCTGCTTAGTCAGTCTAGGTAAAGTTTTCTCTGGTTTGTTCATCTTTTGAACCAACTCTGGTTACATTGATTCTATTTTTCTATTCTCTATTTCATTAATTTCTGTTCCAACCTTTATTATTTTCTTCTGCTTTGTGTGGTTTACTCATTTTATAGTTTATTAAGGTGAAACATAGGTTACTGATTTGAGATTTTTTAAAAATACAGGTACTTAAGCTATATGTTTCCCTCAAAGCCCTGTTTTAGTTGCATTCTATCAGCTGTTATGTTACATCTTCATTTTCATCAATGACATAAAATTGTTTCTCATTTTCATTGTGATTTTTTAAATTGACTCATTGGATATTTAGGAGTGTGTTGTTTAAGTTCTGTGTATTTGCAAGTTTCCAAAAATATGTTAGATTTCTAATTTCACCTTATTGTAGCTAGAGAATATACTTTATATGATTTCAATCATTTGAATATATTGAGGCTTTTATGGCTTAGCATGTGGTATATTTGGAAAATGTTCCATGTACACTTGAGAACAATGAATATTGAAGGTTTTATCTCTTTCTCTGATATTTCTGTTGTCTGCCTCAATTGGCCTCACACCCAGCTGTTATGCTTCACTAATTACTGGATAATCATTCTATTGTTTTGAAAAATACCCTAGAGGCATAAATTTCTCCACAGTCTGACCCAATTAAATTCAAGGGCCTTTGGGAGTTAGATCTTCAGGCCAATTTTTCGTTACTCCAGGAGGGCTCTCTTACCTTTACCTTTCTTTGATTCTCTCTGATCATCTAGGTAATCGATGGGTTAGCTTGTAGATTTTATAGAGCTACCAGCCTCCTTTTAATGGCTTATCACCACAATGTCTATTGCTTTGGACAATGACCTTAGTTAGGCTTGACATTCCCCCCACTGTTTCAAATGAAATCAATTCCTATGAGCTTCAGAGTTCTTATGGACTGCTTCTACCCCTAGCAAAATCTGAGCCTGGAGCTCCAGAGCTGGCAGGCAGAGTAACACCTATACTTTCTGAGTAGGGGACTTGTTGGGGGTGGCAGCCTCTGGCTTTCTTAGCTTGCCTCTCTCAGCTTGCCTCTCTCAGCATAGAATCTGCCTATGAGTAAGCTGAGGCAAGGGGGACTGGGGCCTCAATATTCTCAGCCTCCCATACCCGGGGTAGAACATCCACCTAATTAGTTGGGGGTAGGTGGAAGAAGGTAATTCCTAAACTTTCCGCCACTCTCACCAAGAACTTAGCCTCTGCAGTTTAGGGCAGAGGGAATGAGAAATTCTAGTGACCTGTTCCTCAGTGAGATACCATATCCCTTGACTGGAAGCTGAGGGGAAAGGCAGCACCATCTCTTTGGCCACATCTGCCCAGAGTGGAGGCTCCATCTCACAGAGCTACATGAAAGGGATAGATAGCAGGCTGTGTCTGACATGCTACAGACTCTCATGTTCTTAGGGAGATTCTTCAGATTTGCTCACATAAGTGCTTTTGATTTGTCATATTCCATTACAATAATTTCCAGAGACTTTAAATGAGTTTCTTTATATTTTTCATCAGTTATGGATGTTTTCTGGGAAATGGTCCATGGAACACCTTATTCTGCCATTCTGGAAATAAAACTCCAAGAAACTTCTCTTTAAGCCTCTGAGACTTAGAGGTTGCTTATTACTGCAGGAAAGCCTAGTTTAGCATGATGAAAGCCGTGTCTAGTATTAAAGCAGAATTAAAGTCAACTCAAGGAAAGTAAAATGATTTTCCAACTCTATCTTTCTCTGATAGGTTCTTGTCCCTTAAAGCTGAGTAGCCGTCACTGGCCAGATTCTAGAATAATGCCCTTCCTGTTTTTCTTTTGTTCTGTTGTCCCCACTTGATTGCTTTAATGTATCTAGGTAGACTGCCTCTATTAAGAAGTCCCAAGTTAATGTAGGCTACTTGCAGTCTTTGAAACACAGTGCCCATTTAAAGATGACAATCCTAGAATCATAAGAGCAGGGATACAAACTATTTTATTCACTCTAGTATTCTCAGAGCCTAAAACAGTGTCTGGCTAGCCTGACACTTGATAGCTGCTCCCAAAAGGTATTTTTTGAATGACAGTGTCAGGACCTTGCTCCTGTTCCTTTGTTACACTGGCTGCCCTGGGGATCAAAGCGTATGGGAGGGCTATTTGTCTTATGTTATCTTTCTGAAAGTATCCTCCCAGAGACTGGTTCAAACAGGAACCCTACCTGACTCCTATGTCCTAAAGGACTCTATCAATAAAGTATTCCAAGATTCTTCTAGCCAGGAGGTCTGGCTTCATTTTCGAAGTTATCTCAGAAACCTAAAGTGTGTACTCTGGTATCATTAACTGATGTGACACAACTAGTGTGATTCCATCAGTTTTATAAATGACAACCAGTGTGAGGAAGTCGACACCAAAAGAAGACACTACTGGACAGAAGGCAAATGATTTTGAATAATCAGCCTCTACCCTATTCCCCCAGGGAGACTAAAATGCCTAAGCAATGCTCTCGTTGATCACAAAGGATACATGTTTGTCCTCTTGTTTAGAGTTGCAAGAACCCACTCTTTCCAAAGCAATCAAAATCCTATATTAAGGGGACCATGTCTAGAAGCTCTGGAAAATTCCTGGAATAGTAACACAAAAAAGGAGTCACTGTACCACCACCACAAGCCTCTCTGGGAACTAATTGTGTTCTAGATGCAAGAGACACTTAACCCAGCATTTGTCTTAGCAGTGTCTGCCTACTATGTGAGCCTTACGCCATCCCTGAGACTCTGCCAGGCCCCTGCCCATCCACTCAACACTTACAGTTGAACTTTGCCAGGAAATCTAGCTCATCTAGTTCTCCAGCTTTCTAATCCTTCCTCTCACCCAAGACTGACCCACTCCTTGTCCTATCTTGACGTCCCTCTGGTTTATACAGAGTAATTAAATCACTGGTTAATTGATGAATTCAATTAAATCAATGTCTTACCTGAGTCCCTGTTAGGATTCTTTAACCTTTTTTGGAAAATAGCCACATGTCAAATTTACTCACTTCTTCCCAGGTCATTAAAAAAAAAAAAAAAAAAAAAACACACAGAAATAACTGAGTAAAAAACACTCTCAATCTTTGCCCTCTTGGTATCAGCTTTGAGACACCTGGCCAAGTACAGCCTGTGCTAAGTTTCAAAGAGGAGGCAGATAACTTTGAAGATTTTATTTCACAGGGGACAACAGATAAAAGTCTCTGTCAAGTTGTCATTAGATGCTTAATGCTATTCTTGGTGGGGAGCTTGAGGCGCCCCTCCTCCTCTGTAGACTTCTAGCAGATTAGGTTTCAGAGCTTTAATTTGAGGAAGGATTTACAGCTGTGAAGAGGTATAATATCATTTTGATTTGGGTTGTACTAGGCTGGGGAAGCCAGATTACATTTGTATGAAACTGTATTAGACCATATGACTGAAACCACCAAAATCAAATAAAGGGAAAATTTTCCAGAGAGCCTAAAAACAAGAGCCTGTCTTTCCAGCACCTGAGCATTGTTTCACTAACTATTATTCTGATTTACATCTAGGGGATCCATGCAGAAATGCGGAGGGAGATGGCAACAATGCCTGTGCTTGCTGGACCTATCCATTCATTAATCTGTCATCAACCTAATCCAGGGGCCCATCCCCTAGAACAAGAGGAAAAAAATTAACACTTAGAGAAGAGGGGAAGTTGGCAGGGGGAGGGGAGATAACTTTATGAAAAATAGCCTTCTTTCATCTCCGGAGGCACTGTCTAATTCAGAGTCTCAAAGAAATCCATCAAATTGTCTCTCTGGGCCTCAGTCCATCCACCGCCACCATATGCTACCATGTGCGTGTGTCGCACGGCATCCCCAGATAATGACTTACGTGGGCACCGTGCCTTTCCTCTAGAACCATCTTAATGCTATTTTAAAATCCGACTCTCATTTGCATGGAAAACAATAAATCACTTTGGGTAACACAGAAAACCCAGTTTCTTCTGAGATGAAACATGAAAAAAAGAGTTAGCTGTTGTTTGTACCACACAGCTACACAGAACTGGGCAGACTACCAGCATCTTCTACTGGGATTTAGAGATGGACGCAAGAAACACCACGGGTAGGACTCTGAAAATTGAAATTATTTTTGTGCCAGTCTCTAGATTCAACTAGAATGTGCTCTTGGCTGGGGAGAATTTGGGAAAGAAGTGTTTTTTTTTTGTTTTTTGTTTTTTTTTAATTGCAACTACTAAGTTTCAAAAATGGGGGAAAATCATGAAGACAGCCACAGACATCTTCAGGGGCTGACTAATTCTTAAATGATTGGTTCCTCTAAGAGTGGTTAGTGGTGAAAGAGTAAATGATGTATGAGAACGATTTCTCTGATTTCTGCCAGGAGTTCTACTCACTCAGTAACCACAGGGAATAGAAGGATCAGGTTTTCCACAGAAACTACTTTTAGCACATGCTGTGTTTCTACACCTGTACTTCTCTTCCGAACAACTATCTTAGCTCCAAGTTGACATGGCCCGTTACCAAGGGGCTCCATGTCTTTTGTTTTTGTAGTAAAGATGACTTGAATACAGAAGAGGTGTTGTAGGAGAGCGCGTCTTCTCCAAATGCTGGCAGATGACAGTTTCCGCAGGGACGTAAAGAGGTGACAAAGGCACAGAATATAATTTAGTCCTGATTTCCAGGTCTGGCTCACAAAACTAATCGGATGAAAATGTGGCCAAAAGAATACCTCGGAGATAAACTTTCTAGAACAAGCTAACGCCATAATTTGACCCTAATTCCAAAAATCATGGGAAGGACATACTTCTTAGTATCTTTATCTTATTCTCAATTAATCAACAAACCTTAATGTAAATAAATTTTCTAAAATTCATTGTCACCGAGGAAAGGGTTAAAAAAAACTAAAGTTCTCTTTTGAGAATGGATTTCTTTCCCTCACTACCTTCTTAGACAATACAACAGAGGTTATTTCTAGACCCAGAGGAGACAATGCAACATAGCTTCTCCAGCCTTTGGACACTAAGCAAGTTATCAATAATGCAGAATCTTGAAACCTGACACTAAACTCCTTCAGAGGTAGGTATCTTGTGAGCAAAAGAGAACAGAGTAAAAGGGGCAAGGATGGGAGAGTGTAAGAAGAACCATGCTGTGGACATTTTACTTCTTGGGGTGTTAGTTTCCTTCTATGCAAAATACAACTGTAGATTGCCACAAGCCTAAACAAAATCTGTAAGAAATAAATAACCTTCAAAGCAATTTAATAAAAAGAAATGTGCCCAAAATATCCTCAAAGACTTTATTAATCTAGGGAGGCAATAGTTAGGAATATGAGACATGAGTCAAACCACCTGATTCCACATCCCGATTGCACGATGAACTAGCTGTGTGATATTGAGCAAGTGACTTAACCCCCAGATTTCCTACCTGTATAAGAGGAATAATGAAAGCTCCACAACTACTGCAAAAGCTAAATCAAATAATATGTGTAAAGCTGTTAGTACAATACCTGCCCCCACAGTAAACACACAATAAGTATTAGAAATACAACAAATTATTATATTTAAGTATAAAGCGGTAATCTGTACATACTTGGAACATTTCTGACTTGAGAAGCTATAAAATCATGGATCAAAACAGTTGTACAAAAGATGGTGTTATGTGAGGTCCTTTGGATTTAATATAAGGAGCCAAATAAAAGCAGTCCAAATTTAGAAAAATCTTTCAAGCTATTCCGCGATGACTGTGTCTGTCATCACTTGGGAAAGGAAACTGTATGCTACTCGCATTCTAGAGAGCTGTTAGGAAATGCTAGCTGACCCTCAACAAACCTTCAGCCTCCCCAGGAACACAGTTAGGCAGCTTAATTTGGGCAAGCGAGGAGAAAGCATGAGCCCGTACCCAAGCACTGCCTGGTTTCCATCTGCGCGATTTAACCACAAGCCACAGAGCGCCTCTGCGGACACCAAGTCCAGCTGCCAGGGAAAGGTTTCAGACCCACGGTGGTGTCCCAACAATTTCCAGTTCAGTGGAAATCTGGGGAACGCACAGGCTCATAGCATATGATTTCTTCATGTTTCATTAGTTTCCAGGTTTTAAACAATTTTAACCTTCTCTCTGGCACAGAGCTGCTGTACTGTAAGTAGAAATCACTGGACTTTGAGTAACATGAGCCTGTTTCACGTTTGTGGGTGGACATCCAATTGGCACAGTGACCTTGGCCATGTCCTGACTCCTCTGAGCTTCACTTTCCTCATCTGTAAAATGGGTGAAAGCCAACTTCAGTGAGTTCTGGGGACACAAACATGTTTCACATGTGCCTAGATAGATGCTGTTAGTCTCAACTCATTTGCTATCCTGAACTTAAACGGGTTGCCAATCTACTCTCACACCACTCTAAAACAACAAAAAAAAAATCTTTTCAAAAGCTAACAAACTGAACTAGGAGACGAAGAAAGAAAATTCACCGCTACATAAATTAGCCAGGAGCAAAGCAAGAAGCTGCCCGAGTAGGGCAGTTGGCTTCCCACAATTGATTCTTTAATAACTTCTGTAATATTTCTGAGGCACATCAAAGGACAGTAACAGCCCAGTGTTGGTAATCCCTCTCACATATAAAAACTTTCATTACAGAGTGTTAAAGGCATCACTCTGCTTGAGAAATCGCAATCAATAGACGTTGGCCTTTTTTCTTCTTTTCTATCCTGGGGTAACGGCACCAGCATTTTCTCTCCAGTAATGCAGTGCTGTGTGGCCAGAGTTTCCTCTGATGCTGCAGACGAGCACCAAGATGAAAAAATCTTTGTGATAAATGAGAAAGAGGAGAAGAAGTTTGGGAGAATACCTCTCTGTGTTAGAAACCCGAAGTGTTCCATGCTAATTCACCCTAAATGCTGTTTGCAAATATTGGCTTAGACATGCATTTAAAAGTCACAGGGATTTGTTTTAACATGATTTCTTTTGCATTCCCATGTGGAAAATACCTTATTTTAGAGTGAGACGCCATCTCTATTTCCCAGGCTGGAGTGCAGTGGCTATTCACAGGTACTATCCTCAACCCACAACAGCCTCAAACACCTGGGCTCAAGCAATCCTCGCACCTCAGCCTCCTGAGTAGCTAGAGCTACTGCATGCCCCACTGCGCCCAGCCTATAAAAGATTTCAATTGAAAAATGTTTCCAATTAGCACCCTAAGAGCAGGATAATTTTGGAATACTGCAGCAGATCTTAGGGACACAAACTAAAAGGACAGCAGGCAGTCATTAATTTCTTTGTTCCTTATTATCTATAATACAATTGTTAGAGTCAGAAATATAAAATTACTTGCAGAAGTTTTTTTAAATTCAGCCTATTTGTTTCCTTTGAAAGATTACTCCAGGTTCTTTAAAAAGCCAGAATCACATTTTTCTTTTTATTATGAATGCATAAAGGCCAAAGGCCACTCATAGCATCTCCCTCGTAAACCGCATCTTGCCAAAGCCCGTGGCCAATTTCTGGCCTCCCTTTACTGAACCACTTAGTGGCATTTGGCCAGTTGACCACTCCCCTCCTTCATAAGCCGTTTTCTTGCACATAAACCCCCCAACCACACTACCCTTTCCCCACCTCTACTACCTGGCTCCATTTGTCTTCATAGTTTTATAGGAATTTAAGTCATCTATTTGTGTGTATGTTTATTATCTTACTCCATGTCCCATGCCTAGAAATCCCTGGTAAGTTGTAGATACTCCATAAATATTTGCTGCCTGGCTGACTCTTAGTATTTTCTTTTGACAGATTAAAAGCTCAGAGGAGTGAAGCCACTTGCCTAAGACTGCATAGTAAGTGGCCGAGTCAGAATTGGAACTCTGAGCCCATACTCATGACCTTTATATAATAGAAAAAGCAGCCTCGGGATAAATGTCCAAGAGCAGGGTTGGCAAACTTTTCCCTTAAACGGGCAGACAGCAAGTATTTTTGCCTTTGTGAGCCACATATATATATAGTCTCTTGCATTTTTAAAAAAGAATACTTTAAATACATAAATCTATTATTAGCTCAAAGGGTCATACACACAGGCCACAGCTGAATTTGGTCTTAGTTTGTCAACCCCTGCTCAGGAGAATAGGAGCATTTTCTACTGGATTCATGACTTTAACCCAGGCCCAAGAATCCTGTGCAGAATCAATTAAGCTTTGTACAATGATTTTTTTTTTTTGAGACAGAGTCTTGCTCTCTCGCCCAGACTGGAGTGCAGTGGCGCCATCTCAATCTCGGCTCACTGCAACCTCCACCTCTCAGGTTCAAGTGAGTCTCCTGCTTCAGCCTCCAGAGTAGCTGGAACTACAGGCATGCACCACCACGCCTAGCTAATTTTTATATTTTTAGTAGAGATGGGGTTTCACCATGTTGGTCAGGATGGTCTCGATCTCTTGACCTCATGATCCACCCGCCTTGGCCTCCCAAAGTGCTGGGATTACAGGCATGAGCCATCACGCCTGGCCAGAATGAATGAATTTTACCTTCATCCTCTAGACAACAAGATCCTCAAGGTTACCAGACTTGGGCATGTCCTACAGTTAAAAAACAGTTCACTTTCCACAAAAGGGAGCTGGATAAATTCCTATGGATGGACACAATGATCAAGAGGAGGAAGAATCCTGATAAATTCCTATGTAGTAAGAGAAAATAACGCAAGATCAAGAGTGGCAAAATGCTGAAAATTTTGTGTTATTCTTTTTCCAATTAAGAGGCTTTCCCCCGCTATGAAGTAAGCAGGCATCACCAGAAGTGAGAGGAGGAAAATAACCGCTCTCACCTCTCCAGCGTCCTGTGCTCCTATCCTGCTGAGACTGTCTTTTGGCTACTACATAAAAAGCCAAAAAAGTGAGTCCTTCACAGCATGAGGATACTTTTAGCTGTTGGACACGGAGAAGGTTTTCTCTTGGTCTTTTATTCAATCATTCACAGAAAGGGACATCCTGTGACCTCATTTTCACTCTAAAGTAACAGAGAAAGCCAAGTGGCTTCCTGACTCTGGGTTCTATAGAAACCCTTGCTTTGATGGTGCCTTTCTCCTCCTCTGAGGCCAAGTCATGGTGGGGGCTGGTGGGGCTTCCTTCCATTTCCAAGACAGGTGGATCTCCTTGGGAAACAGCTGCTGTCTGGGAATCCTGGCAGCACCAGGGATAGAGAGAGAAGAGAAGCTCCAGTTTCAACCCTCTGAGTCACTGCAAAAGAATCCCCTTCATTAAAACTAGTTCTCAAGGGAAAGGTGCTTAGAGAAAAAAAAAGACTCAGCAAAATGCATAGGACACTTGGGTAGGAGACATTTCATTATGGCCACTTTGATAGCACCACTTTGAAGCAGTCATTTTGATTTTGGTATGAAACTTCTTGGAATTTTAGTAGAAGTTAGAGAATTACCTAAGTAAATGCTTTTTGATCAAAAATAATTTATATTTGCCAGTTTGTCTTTCATTTCTCCCCTTAAAGATAAGGGCTATGCCTGTCTCGTTTACCATTCCATCTCTAGTACTCAATATGGTACCTCACATATAGGAAGGGTATATTTATTTAAAAAATAACTACTATGACCATCACTACTACTGCCTATGTCCAGTGCTTACATTAGATACATAATAATTTGTTGAAAAAATGAACTGCTACCATCACTACTACCATTATTGCCACATAATTACTATTGTCACCATCATTATTCCTATTGGCTGTCTATTGTAAAGCCAATGGGACAAGCATTATGCTTAGATTATTTCAATTATCATTCCCATTTCATAGATGTGAACACTGAAGTGCAGAGAAGTATCCTAAAACATATATACAGTATGTGGTAAAAAATTGAATTAGGTTATTATTATGATTAGTCTTGTCAAGTAAATTGGGAGAAATGAATAGGCTGAGAGATAAGGATAAGGTTGTACTTAGTGCCTCTATTTTGGACTTTTAAGCATTTCTTTTCACGGAAAGGGACCAGGGATTCTTAAAGAAATGACTGATTCCAGATCTGCTCCAGGAAATAGACATGATGAATTGGCAAATTTTGTTGTGGAAAGCTATCAAAACCTACTAGAGTAATGTCAAAAGGACTTGGAGCTAACTTGAAAGGGGCTCCCACTGGCCAAGACAAATCAACTTCAATAAAAACAATGAAAGTGGTAGAATGAAATAGATCAAATACACAAACATTCAAACATTTCTTAAGAGTAAAAATCAATGGTCACCCTTAGAAGTTGCCAGGACACCAACTTATGATTTAGAAAATATTAACAAAAAGAAACTAAGGGAAATTAAACACTTACCCTGCCTTTCCTGTATGGACAACCTTTCAAAGTAACAACACGACATGGAGGGAACGTTTTTCCTCATAGAGGAATCACAGTTAATAAAAGCAGGAGGAATGACAGATTTAGAAAATCACCATTTCACAGCTCTTAATGAAATAATGGGTCTAGACAACCACCATTCATAGCTGCAAAACCTTTGCCTTAAAGCTTAATTGGAAACTTGATATTTAAGGCATCACACTGACAACATGTGAATCTAGGATCAATCCTAACTTAACTAAATGTGGGATAATAGTACATTACATCAGTGGTTCCCATACTTTGAAGCACATTAGAATCACTTGGGGAACTCTTAAAAATCTTAATGTTCAGGTCGTGTACCAGATCAATCAAATCACAATGTCTGGGGTAAGAGTATCAGTAATTTTAATTTGAGATGTTTTAGGTGATTCCACTGTGGAGCAAAGTTCAGGAATCTTTTCATTTTATGGCTCATGGTGTGATGCTCCCTATGATATATTAATGTTACTATCATAGGGAGATATATTAACATCCTATGATATATAACCAAATATTTACCAGAAACAGAAGAAACGTGTTTAAGAATGACTACAAAAATGCAAATCAGAAATCAAATGTGTGAAAAATTCAAAGAGGGTGTGAATGGCATATCTTCTCAACAAACAAATGTCATTTTAAAAAATGGTGTGTTGGGGGTGGGAATGGAGGGCTTTCCTTAAAACATGACTGGAAAAGTTATGCTTCTGGCTATGAATGAATAACTTCATACATCAGACTAATCCTCCTGCAGAAAGTAATTGTGATAGATGCATAAATTAAAAAAAAAAAAAAAGCTGTTCAAAAGCATCAGAGCACAACCAAGGCATGCAAGATTCAAGCATCCTAGATGATGTAGGCAAAGAAAGCCCACTGAGGTGAGCTCTATAGTTAAAGCAACTTTGTGTCCTAAGGGCATTTGCGAATTTGCATCGTGAGGGAATAAACCAAGTAGAAAGCAGCAGCTAGAGCTTGATGCAGTTTCTGAGCTAGAGAGAGAAGTTTGGAAGTTAAGGGCTATAGAAGCAGCAGCTAGGACTTGAGGGACTAAGATTTGTGAGAACGGTGAACCAAAGAAAAGTGATCCCAATACTCCTAACGTAATTTCCCCTTGAGATATTTGCAAATTCCTAAACTGCAAACATATGAAGAGACCAATTAACTAAGCAAAAATCAATGCTAAAAGACCAAAAACGAAGGAGCCATTTTGTCAGTCTAAAAGGGTTGGGGAGACAAAATTGCAATTTAGAAGACACTAAGGAGAAAGGGCCATCGTAAATGCCCCAAAATTTCATTTGAGAAACTCAAAAGGCTTGAATTGTTAGGACAAACTAGAAATAGACCACAGAATTTGAAAAATATCATTTCTGGATTAAATCAATATAACTTGCTTATACTGTATCCACCTGCCAGAATGTTAACATATCTCTGCAAGAAGATAAAATCCACATTAAAGGAAACACTAAAAGGAACTAAAGGGGGTTATTTGGGCAGATTAAAAATTTCCCAGATGAAAGCATAGAATGTAGGATGGAAGAAAGAGTACTAGGTAAATTGGGGTAAGTACCACTCTAACAATTTAATCAAGAGAAATGAATACATGTCCACACAAATATCTATACATAAGCAGCTTCATTCACAATAATCCAAACTTGTAAACAACCCCTATGTGAACCAAGTGAATGGATACACAAAATGTCGAATAACCATACAATGGAATACTATTCTGCAATAAAAAGGAACATTAACACATGCAACCACTATTCTCCAAGTCATTATGTTCACTAAAGGAAGCGAGACACAAGGGAGTTCATATTATGGGTTAATTCATTAAAAATCCTAGAAAATGCAAAATCACCGCTAGTGACAGAAAATAAAATCAACGGTTGCCTGAGAGCTGGGAGTGACAGAAGGAAATGTCCACAGTGTGGCACAAGGAAAGTTTTAGGGGTGGCAGAAATGTTCTGCACCTTGATTTTGGTGGACTCATGGGTGTATCCCTCTTTTAAAGCTCAATGAATGAATTTTACATGGGCACAGTTTATTATATACACACTATACCCCAATAAGCTTTTTTTTTCCTAAAAGACAGTTGAAATTCCCCAAAGACAGATCAAAAAGATAAGTTGCTGTATTATTCTATTGAAGTTTAAAAACAGATAAAATCAATCCATGATTATTAAAATGGTGTATATCTTGCAGAGCAGGTGTTCACTTAGTGAACAGGAAATTTCTGGGTACTAGTGCTAGTGAGTGGTATTTTCTACATCTTTGAGAAATAGTTACATGGGATGTTTATTTTGAAAATATTTATTGAGCTAAACACTTAAAATGTGTGCACTTTTGCTGTTTTTGTCATACTTCAATAAGAAAATTTAAAGGTGGAGGATTGAGAGAAATTAAAGAAAATCCAAGAGACAAAGCAACCAAAGGCAATGCATGGATGTCATATGGCTTATGATTTTAAAAACTCAACTGAAAAAAATGTGAGGAAATGAATGAAAATCAAACATGGACTATTTATCATATATTAAAGAATGCTTGCTCATTTTATTGCATGCTACTGTGATTACATTTAAAGTCCTTATCTGCTAAATAAACATACTAAAGTATTTATAGGTGAAATAATTGAGTAGGATTTGCTTTAAACATCAGCAAAAAAGAAACACACAGGCCAGGTGTGGTGGCTCATGCCTGTAATCCCAGCACTTTGGGTGGCTGAGGCAGGAGGATCACCTGAGGTCAGGAGTTCAAGACCAGCCTGACCAACATGGTGAAACCCTGTCTTTACCAAAAATACAAAATTTAGCCAGGTATGGTGGTGGGTACCTGTAATCCCAGCTACTTGGGAGGCTGAGGCAGGAGAATTGCTTGAAACTGGGAGGTGGAGGTTGTAGTAAGCCAAGATTATGCCATTGCACTCCGGCCTGGGCAACAGGAGTGAAACTCTGTCTCAAAAAAAAGAAAAGAAAAGGAAAAAATACATGTGCTCAAGTATAGGTTGATCATCATGGAAGTTGGATGACAGATGCATGAGAATCCATACTATTCTCTTGAGTTTTGCATATATGTAAGAATATTTTTACAAAGTAAAAATACAATTCAAGTGAAGATGAGGTACAAGGATGAGGCAGAGGGCCCAGGAGGGTGTGAAGATGTCTATTGTGCCTATGACCTATATTCTATTCTTTGCACTTTGAAGATTAAAATACCCACAGCATCAAAATGGCTATGTCAAAATGTCTTGCTTCAGAATTTGCATGGCAAGAATTTTCTCAGGGGCCCAGAAACATGACAAGCATGAAAAGAATGAAATTTACGAGAGTCCAATTAGGTCCTGAATGACAGCCAGGCAGATATATGATGACAAACAGTGTCCTTCGTTTCTCCAGAGACTGATCTACTTTGGGCCCAAAGAGAGGAAAGTGAGCTTGTATAATCCTGGGAATTTCACCATCCTTCTTCTGGTCCCTAGTTATCTCCATCTGAAGCCTATTCAGGTTTTGGAAGGGAGAGAATAAAATGGGCAGCCAAAAACCAGATTCTGATGGCATCAGTCAGAATCCTGACAGGACACAGATGTCATACTCCTCTGCAACTTTGAAGAGAAATAAACTATTTTCAGAGGTGGAGGTTGGGTTACAAGGTAAGGATTTGAAGCCCCTGGTACTAGCTACAGCAGAATGCCTTTAGTATCCTGGGCCTAAAAAAGCAAAGAAAGAGAACATGTTATCAGAGCCTGGTGAGGTAAAGGTGGGTGGGTTAGGGGTAGGGGGTGGGGAGTGGGACGACTATCATCACTGCTACAGCCTTGAAGGGACACAGACCCTGAAAAACATGATGAGAAAGACTTCCATGGGAGTAAACATCCCCCATCTCTCTCTCTCTGCCCATTGCCTGGTCTCTTTCCAGTACCTCCCATTGACCAAGCCCAAACTGGAAGACAGAGACATGGAAGCCCAGGTGACACAGTCAACCTCCTGGGTCAACAAGCAGGGCAGACAAGGTCGCCTAATAGGCTAGGAAGGCGGGGGATGGAGAATTACCAGCACATGCCCCCAAAGGGTAATTTACACCACACTGGAATACATAAGATCTTCAAAGCCACAGTTAGTTAGAAATGATGGCCATTTGGCAAAAGCTAATTCAGTCAGACCCAGGGTTGCAGATCCTTAATTTAAATGGAACTGAGTATTTCTAAGCATTTCACAAGAGGCCCAAAGACAATGAATGATAACAGATTCTTTACCCACACACACACACCCTCCCCATGGGGGAAACGGTAAGGAGCTACTCATGCTCATTCTCAAGTTTGTAAAACAAAAATCTTTTCTTCTATATTAGAAATTTCCAAAGTAAATGCACAAAAAAGGGGAGAAATGTGGTTGCATTTTCCATTGGGCTTTAACCATCACTCTGCGAAAGAGAAGAGTTCAGAGCAAAGTCATCACAGGTGGAAACAATCTCAAGATCAGATGGGAGAGGAGTATCCTCTTCCCCCCACCTCCCCCGCTCCAGGGGTATGTGGTCCTCTCTTGGTTGGTGATGCCAACCCTGCTTCCTCTGGCCCTGGGTTTTGTACCTGCTGCTTTCTCTGCCCTTAATGTGCTTTCCTCCCTTCCTTCACTTGTTAACTCCTATTCCTATCTTAGCTCAATTGTCACTTTCCAGAGGAAACTTTCCCATGTTCACTAATGAGGTCAAAGCCCCTAAGACATACTGTCATAGCATCTGGAACTTTTCCTTCATGAAAGCACTTTCACAGTTTTTGGTATGGCTGTTTGATATTGTCTATCTCCCCAGCTGAACTGGTAGTTCCACGTGGCAAGGACTATGTGTATCTTTGAGTACCATTGCATTTCCAGGGCCTCACATATAATCTGGCTCATAGTAGGCACCCAACTATTGTCGAATGAATGAGTCTTCACTGCAAGATAAAGTGACAACAGTTTTCCACTCTAGAGACCATCTACGTTTTTCCCTTTCAATGTACAACATGATTTTGTTTTCTTTCCCCCACCCCCCACAGCATTAAATTACTGGAAACACATCCTATGCTCATAGATGGGTAGAATCAATATTGTGAAAATGACCATATTTCCAAGAGCAACCTACAGATTCCATGCAATTCCCATCAAAATACCATCATCATTCTTCACAGAACTAGAAAAAACAATCCTAAAATTCATATGGAACCAAAAAAGAACCTGCATAGACAAAGCAAGACTAAGCAAAAAGAACAAATCTTAAGGCATATTACCCGACTTCAGACTATACTACGAGGCAGAGTGATCTTAACTGTACCAAGCTAAATCCTACATCTAGATTCACAGATGCAAAAGTGTTTAATAAAACCAAGTTACTTGCATTCTTAGGCTCATGTAGATGCTGTACGCAGATGGTCTTCTAAATAGGTTTTAGATATGTCAAAACTTTCTCCAGCCACAAAGTCAAGAATGATCACCTTAGGGTTGCAGTATACTCAATTATTTATACTCCTTCTATGATCAAGGGTAGTAGTATCTGCATTAAGTAGTTTCCTCCAAACCAGAAAGGAACGAATTGGCAGAATATATTTCCTTGCCTCCAGAAATAACTTATCATCATTAGAATCATCTGATATTTTTGGGATCTGGAATCTATGTTCTGTATTTGTGAGGGTAACTATGAGACTTGAACAGTCCACCAGGGATCTTAAAGGCATGTTTTCAAAACACAGCCCCCATCAAAACAGTGTGCTGTTACCAAATATGTTTGGGCAATGCCACTGTGAAATTTACAACATACACTAACAGAGAGTTTGAGAAATCCCATGGCTGGTAGAGCTTGGCAAAGGGAAATGTGTTTCCCTCACATATCTAACTAGGAAACCGTCATTTCAAATACTTCCTCTTACTATCCTGAAGGCCATATTTTAGGAAATGCTGCACTGGAGGAAAGATGTTCTAGAATAGACAGGTACTACAAGACTGAAAAAGAGAAAATTTAACATGCTTTCCTGCTACTGAATCTATTCTATATATCCTGTTTTTCTTCATAGGTGTTTGCCCCACAATATTTTTGTTTTCTCATTATCTCTAATATTAAAATGGGAGAAAACAGTAATACAAGCATGTTGAAAAACTGATACCGTGAAATATTGAAAATTTGAAATTGATTAATGTTGGTTCCTAAAGCAAATTATTTTACTGAAAAAAATGGTTCTATTAATCTAAATAGATACATTTATTAATATGTGTTGAATACATAGGTATGTACCTAGGAGTTTTGTAGAGAGCATGTCTGTTTAGAAATAAGCATACAAATACATAACTTCATGTAACGAGTATGCTGAACAAGCATGATCCATTGCATAAAACACAACATTTTACTCTCCTTGCCCCTCTAAATTTGATTAGGTGGTAATAATCTTCCTTTGCCCTTGGATAAAAACTACAGCAGGCCCACGAGTTTGCTGTTCACAGGTAATGGGCAGTTCTAAAACAACTTCAGGTTACACATACAGTCCCAGGTGAGAAAACAAACTCCACAACCATGTTGCTTTTGTATGGAATCTTTCCCCTTCTCAGCTTGGCCCTGCTTCAGACTGAAAGCCTCCAGATCACCCTGTGGCCCCTCCACCTTATTAGCCAGCATTCTGCCTTTCTCAAGGTTGAAGAAACTAAGAGACAGAAGGGCTCCTCCTTGTGCTAGTTCTGTTATAATCTAGCTTGGCTGTCTCTGGGCCTGGCAGATAGTTAGGGCTGACACTTTCTCTTTTGATAAGCTTTTATGGATTCTGCAGAGGTTTCCTGTTGGGTTCTTTTCTCAAACAGCTCACTAGATCCCAGGTGGGTGGCCAGGGATCCCCCATCCCAAGCCCCAGGTCATCTAGGCATCTGCCTTGGACTTCATATGCTACTTTTCCATGACTCCTTCAGTTACTGTATTGAAGTATATCAAAAACAACCCCACGTTGGCCCTCTCCTTTGCACAGTCCAGAACTGATCCCCAGGAAACACACACATCTCATGCCTTGACAAAAACTGGGAAATATTGGCCACTTCGCAAGCAGGAGCATTCCTACCCTACCACCCAAGCAGTTGGCCAGCCCCTCTTCTCCTGGCCTTCCAGAGTTTCAGGGTGAGTCTCAAATGCATGGGCCCTCTAAACTTCCCAGGCTTGATGCAGGCACAAGCCTCTGGTTTTCCAACTGCAAGAAATAATTCAGAGCTTTCTGATTAGTCCTCTTAATGCCTCCTATTGGGGTTTTGGGTTACAAGATAGTACACTCTACTTTTTCTCCCAAGAGGGTAATGATGACTCAATACATGGCCACAGTTGTCTCTAAAGAGACATCTTCTCTTGTCTCCTCTGGACTCATATATACAAAAGCCATGGACCAGGATCATGACTTTCTATATGAGGCAGCTGTCTTTTGGTCGCTGTATTATGGGTGGCTCTGTGAAACTGAGACAATAGACAATACAACCATTCTAACATCCTACTACCTACGTCGTACACATATATATGTGTGTACGTCATATTTTACTATACGGTTTCTATAACAACTTCAAATAGTTAACGCTATAAGAGCCTCAACACTCCCCAATTCAATTATAATCTCCAGCTTTCACTGATCACTGCTGATTTGGTTATAAATGACTTCACAACCAAAAGCTTACCTTGAGAATTTTTCAATCCCTATGTTCCCAGATTCAAATAAATAAAACCTACTTGAAATATGTGGACTTAAAATAGTCTTCCAACGCATTCCTCACACATGAAATTACTCTCGAATAACTAGCTATTGGTGACATTCCTGATAGTGCCCTAGATTTCTCAACTTTTGCAAGAGCCCAGATGGTCAGAAAGAACTTTACCAAATTTGGTTACTTGTTTTTAATGGAAGGATTTTAAATGTTCTTTTAACAATCATCTCAGCTGCATTTAAAGGCTACTTAGCAGTGTTTGCAGCTAGGAGAACAGATAATTACCGGAGTGAACTAGCAAATTCCTACTGGTTATAACCTGAAATGGGAAGTAATACATGGTCAAGAATGTAAAAAATTACTTATATATATATACATTTACGCACACATTTTTTAATATCAAGTGAGCAAAATGGTATTAAATCTGGTTAATTCTGCCCATGTCCATTTGAAAAACAACCGTGTAATTTGCCTAAGAAAAAAATTCTCTCATAGTTAAGTCAGATGCCTAATTATATCATCCTTTATCTGGGACTGTCAAAAATAAAACATTTTGGATCTATTCACAATAAAATGACATTTTCAGATTCAATTTCATACAAGTTTTTTATCCATTATGCTCACAGATCAAAAGTGACTGGATTCATCAGCCAAAAAGAATATTTTAAAGAGCTGCTGAGAACTTTATAAAAATAATTCTGATTTTCTTTTGTGGGGGAAACAATTTCTTTTAGAGGAGTTAGAAAAAAGTGAGAAAAAATTTTTTGAAAGAAAAAGAACCACCAATGTTACTAGAGAGCAGAGTTGACATGGCGTTACTCACAGTGACTGGTTAAGGGTAAAAGTGGGGGAAAAAAGCAAAACTGTAAAGTAACTGATTATTTCACTGTCTTCACCTGGCCTTAATTCAAATCAGAACACTTCTCCCACCTGCATTACTTCAAACAATTTACCAGAAAAGAAGAGAAAATGTGGATTACATAACCCAGAGCATATAGAGCGAAACTGCAATGCTATCATTCAGCAATCACAGTGCTCTAGTTTATTTTTAAAATAGCTCAGAATTGGCCATGCTCAAGAAGTGGTCCTACATACAGCAAGAGAGCTCTTCGTTTAATACAATACAGATTTTTCCTAACAGCTTCCTCTACTACTTCACATATTTCTTCCATATCCCTACATGGCCCTCCTAAGAAATATACCTTTAGCAATGAACACTAGGAAAACATATCGTTGTGGAAAGGCATGGGAGAGAGTCTACTCTCTTTACTTGCTTTAGCGTGAGGCAGAAAATATTTCTTACAGGGTAGCCATCCAATACCTGAGCACTTTCAAATACTCTGCAGCAGGTAATTTGTTTTTCAGAAGGGTGGGAGTTAAAAGTAACACAGAAAGTCATAATGGGGTGAGAGATTAGACTTTTCTCCAAAGTTACAGCCTTTAGATTTAGCTCCTGCAATTCTGAAGGGCCTCAGAGATAAGGAAATCATGTTGCAAATGTGAGAAGTGAGATTTAGAGAGGTGAAGGGACCTGCCCAAGGCCTCCTAGAAAGAAGAAGAGACTCTGGTACTCGAGGCCCTCAAGTCCAGGGTTCTTTCCACTTGCCCAGGTTTATCCCTGGTTGTCCTCTCCTCTGCCCCTTGATCTGACAAATGTTCAAAGGATTACTTAAAATAGTCCCCTGCTCAAAATAACAAGGGCTTGCCAAAAGAAGAAAAACACCTTGAAATAGAGATTCCAATTAACTGCCTCTGATTGCTGGATAACTCTTCAAGACTCCCAGAAACCGATTCTAGCAGTATGTGTTATTTGTTTATAGCCAACCTTTGTTCCAAAAATAACTTGATATGTTTTACAGAAATATGTAGAATACATACAATGCAGAAAATTATTGCAAAGGAGGAAAAAGGATGGGAAAAGCTAGTAATCTTGGGGATGAATTGTCATACACCAAGAAAGCAATTTATATACCTGGTGGCTTAACAGCAAATATTATAATCAATGCAATAATAGTGACCCAGCAGAAATACACTGTGAGTTGAAATAAAATGTTAACAAGAGTTTGTGGGGAAGAATAAGACACAAAAGTCCTGATAATGTCTCAATATGCAGGGTTTGGACTTCTGAAGCAGGTCACTCCTAAGCCTTCAAGCTTAGGAAAAAAGGGAAAAATGAGAGGACAGAGGATAGATGGGACGACAATGGGGTGGGGAGTCAGGGAGTGGGTAGAGGGAACCACAACAGGTTGACGTCCACCTAGGTATCACTTATCAATGAACTGAAAATTTATCAGGTAATTGGAAGCTCAAATTCATACGTCACCTGGACTGAACTGCGCTTTTGTTATTTATAATGCAATATGGTATAAATCAATTGGCTTGGATTTTAAAATTAGAGCCCAATTACCTGTGTAAGGGAATCATAAATCCAACTTGTATTTTTCTAACAGGGTTAACAACTCATGATGCCAGCTTAAACTCAGGAAAATCAATGGTCTGGGCTTAAGAACAATTGTGCGTGGTACTTTATCTCCCTGGTCTAGTGTAGCAGGTGGGCAGTCTAGGAGTTGGGGGTGAAGGATTTGGGGGAGGGTAGAAGCCTAAAGCAAAGGAAACAAACAGAAAACATTGAATATTGCTAAAAACACCACATGCCAGGTAAACAGGAAGGGGGGCACTTACATATAGTAGACAGTGAAAATCTGGACACCTGTTACTTGATGAAGCATCGCAGGAGCAAAGGCAAAACACTCCTGTTGCTTTTCTTGTTCTGCAAAACTCTCCAGAGCTAAGAGAGCTAATGTGAGATGAAAAGCTAAAAAAGGAGCGAGTCAGAACTCCCACTGACAGCTCCCAAATCTGGCCCTTCCTAAAGGCGTTTGCGCCTGCCTTAAGCCAGAGACTCCCTTCTCAGGTGCAGTTTGTTGACCCTCTCTTCAATTGGAAACATCTGAGGTTCACTCAGTGATAAGGGGCACGTGGAGGAATAAAGCTGTGGCAGTGGTGGAGGAATTAATAGTCCAACTTTTATGGAGGGCAGTTAACATTGTGTATGCCTGTGTTTATGTAAGTATATATACCTACATATACACACATATATGTTATATATTATTGACATAGAAATTCCATTTTCATAAAATTCTCCTTGAGAAATGGTTGAAGAACAGTGCAAAGATATACATACAAAATTCTTCATTGCGGCCGGGCGCGGTGGCTCACGCCTGTAATCCCAGCACTTTGGGAGGCCGAGACGGGTGGATCACCAGGTCAGGAGATCGAGACCATTCTGGCTAACACGGTGAAACCCCGTCTCTACTAAAAATACAAAAAGAAATTAGCCGGGCGTGGTGGCGGGCACCTGTAGTCCCAGCTACTCAGGAGTCTGAGGCAGGAGGCTGAGGCGTTAACCTGGGAGGCAGAGCTTGCAGCTAGCCGAGATGGCACCACTGCACTCCAGCCTGGGTGACAGAGCGAGAGTCCATCTCAAAAAAACAAAACAAAACAAAAAATTCTTCATTGCAGCATTGCTTCTAAGAACCAAAGTTGCACACAAACTAGAAGTCATTCAAAGGGGGTGATCCAAGCCAAGTGTATTATATTTCACTCATACAATGTAATACTATACTGAAATTATAAATGACGATATAAAATTCTATGGACATGATACGTGGTAAAATAAAACAACAAAATAGTATTACTGGATGTGTCAATTGTGTGAGTGTGTGTATGTGTGTGAATAAGAACGTGTGGGAGAAAATCCTGCATATTAATCAAGCTTATTGCTGTTGTAGGATAACTGATATTTTTTAATATTTTTCTGTTGTGTTGGATTTTTAAATTTTAATTGTTATAAAATAGTCAGGTATTACTTTTATAATCTGGAAAAAAAAACCCAGCAATTTCCATTTTGGATCTTGAATACAGTAGGAAGGATAGCAGGGTAGCAGCAGTTACTGGGCAAAGCAGACGTCAACCAGGGCCTAACAACAAGGCTCTCACTGCACAAAGCACCAGCACCTGTCCCATAATGGCTTCTGTTTTCACACAAAATTCCGCCAACTGGGTACATCTTCTCAAAGAGGGGAAACAAATGCACCAAAATTAATTGTAGAACTTATCTTTATGTTCTGGGGGCCAGAAAACTCAGTCTATACTGTGCTTCTGAGAGCAAATAATCCTTTCTAGGCCTAAAATACAGTCTGTCTTCTATTTTGGGCTTGTGGTACCTCTGTTGTCTCATTGTTCAAGTGGATGTAAAAGTATTAATTCAAAAAACCCATGTTCTCTGCTTAAAGCACAGAATTGTCAACAAAACATACTACAGAACACATGCCTCTCACTCAGTCATTTCTTTGTCTTAGTTTCTTGTGGTCTATTCCATAGTAAGGAATTTGCAATGTTGGAGTAAGAGACCTAAGAGGACCTTAGAGATCACCCCATTCAGCATCCTCATTTTTCACAAGAGAAAGCCCAGACTAGTCATCAAGTGAGCTAGCCAGGACTAAAGCCGAGGGTCTGGTAGTCAGTCCACTGTTTATCACTTCAGCTCTAATTCCATTCAAGACACAGCTATAGCTTCCCCCTTCTGGACAATCTGAATATTCCTTTAGCTAATGTTGAAATAAATCAGACTTTCGACATCTGATGTGACATACAGAGAGAAAAAGGCAGGAAATCTAACATAATGTACTAGTTAGCTTTTCCAAATGCATGAGAAATACTTTCAATAATGGAAAACACTACATATACTACTTTATGCAGTCGACTTTTGCTTCTGTGATAGAAAAGGGAAAAAGTTCAGGGGAAGAAAACTACGCGGGTCATTTGGTGACGTTTTTAAGATTTTTACTTTCAGAGGCACATAATTTAAAGTGTTTTTCTTTTTCTTCTATCAAAACCAAACATAGTTACTAGAAAACATCTGAAAAATGCAACAAAATTTTAAGAAGCAAAAAAAGAAAACATGTCACACAATTCAGCCAACAAAAAAACCACAGTTAAAATGTTAGTATAGTTCCTTCTAGGTTTTTTTCCTTTTTGAATGGTTGAGCACTTCATATATATACCATTTCCAAGTTTTGTTTTGTTTTTTACCTAAATTATACCTAAGCATTTTATGAATTCATTAAAAACTATTTATAAACATTATTTAATGTATGAATAATATTCCATGGTATAGAGTGCCAAATTTTATTTTTTCTTTATTTATGTCATTTAGGGTTTTTCTATTATACATTATTCTATGATGAGCATTGTAAGAAATCCATCTTGATCTTAATTTCTGATTATTTTCTTGTCTTAAATTCCTAAAATGGGGAATTGCCAGATTAAATACTATGAGCATTTTAAATTACCAGGAAGTTTATAACAAATTTTGTTGTTCCTACCAAAAGTACATAGAAGTACCCATTTTATAATCCTTTTTCAGTAAAACATATTTTCAAACCTTTGTTAATTTTACAGGTGGCAAAATTAAAATTAAAATTTATTTTAACTTGAATCTTTATTATTGAAAAATTTGGTATACCCATTGGCCATTGTGGCCATCCTTTGGCAGATCTACTCTTGAGGTCTTGGCCCATTTATTTACTGAGAAAAAAGGAAAGCATTTTGATAGATCCAATCTTTTTTTTTTTCAATAAATAAATAATGAATTTTTAAAATAAATTAATAAACTTATTTAATTCACTAAAGCTTAAGAAACACAAACTTCTGGGCTGATCAGTTGGAGGCTGTAGAAAAATGAACGGAACACACTTTTTTTCCAAGTATATTTTGTATAAGCTCTATCTAATTAATGAAACCTTCCTGCAACTTTCTGCATCTGCTCATTCCAAGCATTAGATTAACAAACGGTTGACATAAAATGAAGAGCTACATGGTATTTCTTTGACATGTGGCATATAAAAATCACAAACTCTGTCTTTAAAAATAGAGTGTTCTGGTTCACACTGGTCCACTGAGCAAACCTATTTACTGCCTTTCCCACCCAAAATACTTTCTAAATGATACTAAAGAAATGCAAAAGTGCAAACTCATAACCACAAAGAGAATGGGAAGAAGCCATTAGAAGATAAATGATTTGAATAAAAGTCTGTTGGCTTCTGAACCACACAGCAAAGGAAACCACAGCCTAAAAAGGGATTGCGGCAAAGGAGGGCCGACCTGCCTGGTTATTCCAGAAAGAATCGAGCCTCAGAAATAGCAGGTACAACACAGGATGGAAGAGATTGGTGGGGCTGAAAAGGGGGGTTAATTACAGGCCAGGCTGAATATGTAACATTGACCACCCTTCCTCCTGGCTCTCCATGTGGACTAGCCTGAGGCCAAGCACCAGCTTCAAGGCAATAAAAAAGTGGGGAGAACCATCACAGTTATCATTAGTGTTAAAACCTCACTCTAGGCCAGGCGTGGTAGTTCACGTCTGTAATCCCAGCACTTTGGGAGGCCAAGGCAGGGGGGATCACTTGAGGTTGGGAGTTCGAGACCAGCCTGGTCAACACGGTGAAATCCCATCTCTACTAAAATACAAAAAGTAGGGCCAGGCGCGGTCACGCCTGTAATCCCAGCACTTTGGGAGGCCCAGGAGGGCGGATCATGAGGTCAGGATATCGAGACCATCCTGGCTAATATGGTGAAACCCCATCTCTACTAAAAATACAATTAGTCAGGTGTGGTGGCAGGCACCTGTAGTCTCAGCTACTTGGGAGGCTGAAGCAGGAGAATGGCGTGAACCCGGGAGCGGAGCTTGCAGTGAGCTGAGATTGTGCCACTGCACTCCAGCCTGGGCAAAAGAGAGAGACTCCATCTCAAAAAAAAAAAAAAAAAAAAAAAAATTCAAAAAGTACCTCAGCATGGTGGCAGGTGCCTGTAATCCTAGCTACTCAGGAGGCTGAGGCAGGAGAATTGCTTGAACCTGGGAGGCAGAGGTTGCAGTGAGCCAAGATCACAGCATTGCACTCCAGCCTGGGCAACAGAGTGAAAGTTCATCTCAAACAAAACAAAACAAAACAAAACAAAACAAAACAAAACAAAACAAAACCTTACTCTAGCACATTGCGATTCCCCAGTTCCCATGCACACACCCTAAACTGAAACTCTTCAAGCTTGCTATTCACAAGACCCACCCACTTAAAAATAGACCGCAACAATAGCCTTCTTATTGCCTCATTCTTTCACACACACCACAGATCACCAGAAATTTAATATGACAAGAAAGTCTACCACAGAAAAGAAAATGAGCAAGTAAAACAACAGAAAACATGACACTGGAGAAAACAGTTTAGGGGAAAGACACAAACTTTAAAAATAAAATCTAGTTAATATCGTCAAGAAAGATTTGAGGAGATTTGGTAACTACAAAACAAAAACAGGGTTCTATTGAAAAGGAATAATCAGATAAGAAAGAGCTCTTTGGAATTTTATAAATGCGTAAGTAAAAAATTCAATAGAAAGTTTGTAGGCAACGTTGGAAAAAATCTCCTAGACTATAGACCAAGTACAGAAGTAAGTGAGAAAAAAATAAAATATATAGATGAACAATTCAGGAGGTCTAAGGATGACTAACCAAATTTTCACAATAAGAAAAAAAGAAACTGGAGTGGAGGGAATTATCAAAGAGATTGCATGGTAAAATTCCCCAGAGTTAAAGAGAAAGATGAATGTTCAAAGTATAGGAATCTACTTGATACCAAGAATAATTAACTGTAAAGTGGTAGAAAAATGAAATTCCTAACAATTTCCTGAAAAGTAAAAAAAAAAAGAAGGTGGCCTACAAAATAAGAATCAGAGTAGCATCAGACTTAGCAGCAGCAGGATTGCATACTAAAAGACAGGAAAAAGGATTTTCAACAGAGAAGTCTACACCCAAACTATCAATTGTCTTTTGAGGGCAAAATAAAAAATTCTAAACCTGCAAGCATGCAGAAAGTTTACCTCCCATTCACCCTGATATGGCTTGGATATTTGTTCCTGCCCAAATCTCTTCAAAATGTAATCCCCGGTGCTGGAGGTGGGGCCTGGTGGGAGGTGTTTGGATCATGGGGACAGATCCCTCATAAATGGCTTGGGCTATTTCCTTGGTGACAAGTGAGCTATTGCTCTGAGTTCACATGAGATCTGGTGGTTTAAAATTGTGTAGCACCTCGCTTCCCCACTCTCTCTCCCTCTTGCTCCTGTCTTCGTCACATTATGTGCCTACTTCCCCTTCCGCCATAATTGTAAGCTTCCTGAGGCCTCCCTAGAAGCCGAGCCAGCACCGTGCTTCCTGTAAAGCCTGCAGAACCATGAGCCAATTAAACCTCTTTTCTTTATAAATTATCCAGTCTCAGGTATTTATAGCAATGCAAAAATGGCCTAATACACACCCTTTCTTAGGAAGTTAATAGCAAAATCAGAAGGCAAATTAGAAAAGAAAGAAAACCCATTCAATCCAGCAAACAGTGACTCCAACCCTGGAGAGCAATGGGGACATCTCAGGATGATTCTACACAGCATGTCTACAGAGCCACCTGTCCAAATGGGAGCAAAATGGAGGTCTGTAAGAGACAGGACCAATAGAACAAAGAGTGTAATTATGAGCTTGAAAAAACTTGAAGATATTATTGAGGTATATACTCAGAAAAGGCAATAGGACATCAGAAATTCCAGCAAAAACAAACAAAAATAACTTTATAAGAAAAACTTGAAATATATATTACAGAAACTAAAAGGTGGAATGATTTTGATAAAATGATTTAAAGGAAGAGAATCCATTTGCACCTGATTCTAGACACAATGTCTTTGAGTATCACAGGAATTGTGACAGAGACCATGTGGGGCTGCACTAAATAATTTAGCAAATCTTAATTGTGCAAATATTTTCATTATTTCCAACTTTGGAAAAATCACAAAAAAAGACTACTCTGGTGACAGAGCAAATGTCAATTAAATTTGACAATGCAAAAATAATGGTATATAGCTGACCGAGAATGGAAAGTGGAAGGAAAAGAAAAGCAGTGAAGAAAAGGGTATTGAGTGCCCATATCTCATCCTGTGATGTGTGGAGGCAAGAGACACAGGCTAGATTGATGGACCAATCAGGGGAGGTATAAATACAATTTAGAAGTGGCAAGCCCAATAGAAGTTGAGAATAATGTCATGTTATGGTGGGAGCATGTGAAAAGTTTAGTGTAAGTTAGTGTAAGGCAAATACTTCTTGTCTTTAGAAGAAAATCAGTAGATAACATAAAAAATAAATAAGTGTTAACTAGCAATATGGAAGTAAGACCAGGAATGTTGAAAAGTGATTGCATTTAGGGAGCTCAGCTGGAGGTGGGAAGGGTGGGACTGGGAACTGTTACTTTGCACTACAGGTGTTTCAAAACCATTTGATTTTTAACTACGTGCTTATTTTTGCTTTCATAAAAAACAATTCCAAATTATGATTATAAAAAGCAAGTACATTGTTACAAGCTCTTTTACTAAAAACAACAACGCATAATTGAGCCTGTATGAAATGCTGTCTTCTAAGCCACTGGACACGCTGGAGGAATAGCGAATAAAGTATAACTGGATTTATTTATAACGAGGAGAGAGCAAATGCAGTGTACGGAAATGAGACACATCATTTTATCTCGACAGAACAATTAAGCTTTCATTAGGGCTTAATGACAGGATGACATTCGGGGGTTTGGAGGGTAAGCACATCACCTTCATTATCAAATCAAAGATTATCCAGTATCAAGAGGAACAGTTTTATTTATTCTGTATTCTCCTCGAACTCCCCACCCCAAGCTCTGTCATGACCCTAGATAAGATGGGAATTGAACAAAAGTCCCCAAGTGCTAATTGCATATTCTCTCACATCCCCAAGATTGCTGTCTCCTAGCCATTTGATGTTAATATCACAGAAAGCAGACAGCAAGTGTATATTTGGATGCACAGCTAGGTACATTTCCCAGAATGTATTTTGGAAGGGGTTAGTTGTTGGAAGGTTGGCAAGACACTAGTGACTCCACGTTTTGGCTACTACGCCTTTCTGTCCTGAAAGCCTGGTGTCCATGTTATTTAGAACAGCCTGGGTAAACTTATTACTGCACCCTGTGTTCACAGAAAAGGTTGGTTCTGAGTTCAATTACAATCCCTAGCAGTTTAAACGATAGCTGCTGTGCTATAATCTAAAATAAATTGCTTTTCTCAAGAAGCCATGTAAGCCTTTGCACTGCATCTTAGCAGAGCTGCTGGTTTTATCTCATCTGAAACTCAAGAAGGGTACAAAAGCAGGACCTCTGAACTCCTGTTGTTACCTCAAATGTCATTCTTCTACACTTCTGGGGCTCTCTCTTCACCCCAAATTCCTATCCCAGAACTAGATTTATGGGAAAGCAACAGTGTTTTCATTTTTTAATGCAAATCATCATTTTGTGTTTATTGTTTTCTATATAAGCTGCATACTTTGCCTGGGGTCTTTTGAAAGAACTCTATTACTGGGGGCAAGATTTGTTTTTCCTCTTCCCACAGCTAGAAGGCTAACCTGCTACCATGGGCCAAGATAGCAAGTATGAGGACGCCCGCACCCAAATGAATTGGGGCACCTCTACAGACTCTCCATTCAAACGCACATCCTCCTCCTCTCTCCAAAGGGAATGGAGGAAAAGGAAACAAACTTGTCAAGCGCTCAATACGTGAAATGATAATTCTGGCTTTCTCCACCCTCCACCTCCCCAGGAGTTTTTCCCAAAGGTCCCATTGGCCCAAGCTCAAGCCTCAGCACTTCTCTAAACAAGATGCTTGTAGATCCCTTTGATGTCTTTCCACAAAGGCAATTAGAAGGGTTTCCAACGTTAACTATGTACATTCTTTCAGATTTAACAAGGCAACTTAATTAACACTGCTGTGTTTCTGCTAGTCAACAAGAGAAAATTGTCCTTTCAAGAGATTTTGCACATTGACAAAAATAATCCAGTAATACTTTTCCCTTTCAAATATTTTTCTTCTATTGAGATTGAAAGAGGTGGTTTGCAGAGTGCTATATGGTATGTGCTCAGCAGCATTTTTCTGAAAGGGAATTTTTTTATGTCCACACAAAAAAAAACATCCAGGACAAATAAAAGCCAAATGAATACTTTAGACAAATTCAAACTCAAACTTAGAGCCACTCAGAAGGCAAGGAAGTCCTATTTCTTTTTATAACATACATGCAACCATGCCACGGGAGGATATGAAATGTAGCTCATGAATTATGTTTATCCTTAAGTTCTCTTGGAGCTATAATAATTAGAAAGAGACAAAGTGCTGATTCTCAACCAGTATCCCTAGGAGGCACTAGGAAATGGAGGAGGTGAGGACATTTCTTTGATGTCTCAGCAATTGGAGGGCAAAACTGACATTTGGAGAGTTCTCAAAATGTTGCTAAAAGTTCTGTAGTGTGTTAGCACCACAGAGCGAAGACTTTTCCTGCCCAGAATGCCAATAGATCCCCCTTGGGAAACACTGACCTCAAATGGGAGGTTGTCAATGCTGCACTAAGGCAAAATGAGCTCCTTGTCCTGGGTCCTTTGATTTCTCATTTTGCAAACTTAGGTGTCTGGCAGATAGTCAATGACTAAAGGAATCATCTAGTGGTGAAATGATGGTAAGTCACTTATCCATTCAATAAATATGTATTATGTACCATCTGTGTACAGTGAAAGTACTGCTATTGACCAAGAGTCTCTCCTTGACCAAACGTTAATCAGGCTCCTCTGATTCTCTCCCTAATCAGGCCTTAACTTTTGGACTTCTGTGTCTTTCTCTGTATTGCCCAATTTTAGCAAGAATCCTCTTAGACTGGTTTATCCAGAACCCTTCATCTTCAATATTGGATTACCCTCAATATCTGATCAGATTCCATATCCACCACCATCCCTTAGGTGGTTTAATCACATGGCCTGCCTTTAGGTACATTTCATAACAATGTATCCAATTTTCCTGATCCAATTTTTCTGCATCCTTGCCAGCATTTGGCGTTATTATTATTTTTTTCCAATTTTTTTGTGGTAAAACATACATAACATAAAATTTAGCATCTTAACAATTTTAAGTGTATATTTCAGTAGTATTAAGTACATTCATATTGTTACAACCATCACCACCTATCTATCTCCAGAACTCTTCATCTTGCAAAACTGAAACTCTATACCATTTAACAACTCTCAATTCCTACTTCTCCTCAGCCCCTAGCCACCATTCTACTTTCTGTCTCTACGATTTTGAATACTCAAAGCACCACAAATAGATGAAATCATACAGTATTTGTCTTTGCGTGACTGTCTTATTTCACTTAGCATAATGTCCTCAAGTTTCAATCATGTTGTAGCATATGTCAGAATTTACTTCCTTTTTAAGGCCAACTGATAAGGAGGGACTTCCTTCTGTCCCATTTTGCTATTGATTTTCTACACACCTTACAGTTTTTTTCTGTCCCTCATTTCCTGCATCACTGTCTTCTTGTGTGGTTAGTTTATTTTTTGTAGTGAAACATTTAAATTCCTTTCTCATTTCCCCTTGTGTATATCTATTTTCTTTGTAGTTACCACAGGGATTATATTTAATATCCTAAAGTTATCGATTCTAATTTGGAATTATACCAGCTTAACTTTAATAACATACAAAAACATTGCTCCTCTACTTCTCTGTCCCCACTTCTTTAAATTATTGATGACAAAAAATTAACATCTTCATGCAATATGCTCTAAAATATAAACTGATATTTTAAAAGATGTATTAGCTTCTCAAATTATGTAGAAAACAAAATGTGGAGTTACAAACCAAAGTTACAATAATACTAGCTTTTAGACTAATAATTTAAAAAAATTAGTCTCATATCATGTAGAAAAAAAATGGAGTTAACAAAGCATTATTACAATAATACTAGCTTTTATAATTGCCCACATTTTTACCTTTACGGAGAACTTTATTTCTTAACTAAGATTCAAGTTACTATTAGTGTCCTTTCATTTCAACCTGTAGAACTCATTTTAGCATTTCTTACAGAGCATGTGTAGTGGTAATAAACTTCCTCAGCTTTTTTTTTTTTTTTAATATGAGAATGCCTTAATTTCTTACTCACTTTTGAAGGACAATTTGCTGAATGTAGGATTCTTGGTTGGCAGTTTTTTTTGTTTTGTTTTGTTCTTTCTGTAGCCCTTTGACTATGTCAGCCCATTGCATTCTGGACTCCTACATTTCTGACAATAATTCTGATAATCGTATTGATGATTCCTTCTACATAATGAGTTGCTTCTCTCATGTTGTTTTCAAGATTCTCTCTTTGTCTTTCAACAGTTTGAGTATACTGTGTCTTGTGTCTTGGGGTGGATCTCTTTGAGTTCATCCTATTTGGAATTCATTGAGCTTCTTGGATTTTTATGTTTATGTCTTGCATCAGATTTGGGAAGCTTTTGGCCATTATGTCTCCAAATAATCTCTCTATTCTTTCTCTCTCTTCTTAAGCTTCTGAACTCTCACAATGGGTATGTTGGTCTGCTTCATGGTGTCCAGCAGCTCTGTTCCTTCTTCTTCAATATTTTTTCTTTCTGTTCCTAAGACTCATAATTTCCTTGTCCTATCTTCAAGTTTACTGACTCTTTCTTCTACCTGTTCAAATATGCCTTTGAATATCTCCAGTGAATTTTTCATTTCAGTTATTATACTTTTCAACTGAAAAATTTCTCGTTCTATTTTTACTTTTTCTGAATCTCTGTATTGATGTTGCTAGTTAGTTCATACATCATTTATTTTTTACTTTTTCCATATCTTTTAGTTTTTTGAGCATCTTTAAGATACTTGTTTTAGACTCTTTGTCTAGTAGATCCACAATTATAACTTTTTCAGGGACAGACCTCGTTGGTTCATTTTCTTTCCTTTGAATGTGCCATACTTGCCTGTTTCTTTTTATGTGCTGTGATTTTGTTGTTGTTGTTGAAAACCGGACATTGAAATAAAATAATGTGATAACTGTGAAAATCAGATTCTCCTTCCCCTTCCCCAGGGTTTGCTTTTTCATTCTGAATTGTTGTAGGTTGTCTCTGTGCTGAGGATAAGCCTGAGATGTAAAGTTAAGTCCTTCTCACATCTTTTGTGAGCCTGCATCTTTCTCTAGGTATGAGCGGTGACTTTCTAATTTCCCATGTATATGTGGCTGCTTTAAAATGTACTAGTCTTTAATGTCTGGCTCCAAACACAAAAGGGGAAAAGAAAAAAAATGAAAACAAAAGGAAAAGAGTGCTAGCCCTTTAAATCCCCTGGAAGTCACTTCAGCTGGAGAAAGAAGGGCTTGCAACAATGGAAGGAAATGCAACAACAATGGCCCCTGGCTCTGTCTGCACCTTTGTAATCAGAAGCAACAATTAGCTATCAGAGAACAGATTCCTGATTTTTGAATGACAGTGGCCTTTTTGCACACCCTGGCTCCCATAAACTGTGTGCAGGCTACTCCTGGAATCTGTGCAAGGATGCCTGCGAGTGGGGTATGAGTAGCTGATATTATTCTAAGAGCTAAAGTCAACCACAGTTAAGGGCAATTTACTGCCCAAGCCTTCTCTTGGAAATTAAAAGCCTTCAATAGACTCTAGAGTTCTAAAATAGTTACATCAGACAGATTATGCCATGCAGTTGTTCTCTAGGTGAGGAGATACATTCCTGGTGCTTTCTACTTTTTGATCTTCCCAGAATCCCCTCCTTATCAATTTTTTTTATTTAGCCATTTTAATAGATGGGTAATGATATCTCATTATGGTTTATATTTGCATTTCTCTGATGGCTAATGATGTGGAATATCTTTTATTGTGCTCTTTTTTTTTTTTTTTTTTTTTGCCATCTGCCATTCTCTTCAGTGAAATGTCTCTTCATGTTTTTTGCCCATTTTCTAATTGGACTGTTTGGGTTTTTTTACTCTTGACTTTTCAGAGTTCTTTATATATTGTAAATACTAGTTCTTTGTGTAATATGTGGTTTGCAGATATTTCCAACCAGCCTGTAAATTGACTTTTCATTCCTTGTAGTTGGGCTTTCACAAAGCAAAAGTTTTAATGTTGATGAAGTTGAATCTAGCAATTCTCCTTTTGTGGATTATGCCTTTGGTGTTAAATCTAAGGACACTTTGGTTTGTTTTTTTATTTTTATTTTTTATTTCTATAGGTTTTGGAAAAATAGGTGGTGTTTGGTTACATGAATAGGTTCTTTAGCCATGGTTTCTGAGATTTTGGTGCACCCAATACCCAAACAGTATACACTGTACCCAATTTGTCGTCTCTCATCCTTCACCTCCCTCCTCCCTCACTTGAATCTCCAAAGTCCATTGTATCATTCTTATGCCTTTGCATCCTCATAGCTTAGCTCCCACTTATGAGTGAGAACATAGAATATTTGCTTTTCCATTCCTGAGTTACTCTACTTAGAATAATGATCTCCAATTCCACCCATGTAACTGTGAATATCATTATTTCATTTCTTTTTTACGGCTGAATAGTATTCCATGGTATATATGTTCCACAATTTCTTTATCCACTCATTAACTGTTGGGCATTTGGGATGGTTCCATAGTTTTGCAATTGGAAATTGTGCTGCTATAAACATGTGTGTGCAAGTATCTTTTTTGTATAATAGCTTATTTTCCTCTGGGTAGATACCCAATAGTGGGATTGTTGGATCAAATGGTAGTTTTACTTTTAGTGCTTTAAGGAATCTCCACGCTGTTTTCCATAGTGGCTGCACTAATTTACATTCCCACCAGCAGTGTAAAAGTGTTCCTTTTCACCACATCCCCACCAACATCTATTATTTTTTGATTTTTTGATTATGGCCATTCTTGCAGCTGTAAGGTAGTATTACATTGTGGTTTTGACTCGCATGTTCCTAATAATTAGTGATGTCAAGCAGTTTTTCATATGTTTGTTGGTTATTTGTATATCTTCTTCTGACAATTGTCTATTCATGTCTTTAGCCCAGTTTTTGATGGGATTGTTTGTTTTTTTTCTTGCTAATTTGTTTGAGTTCCTTATAGATTCTGGATATTGGTCCTCTGTCAGATGTATAAATGGTGAAGATTTTCTCCCACTCTGTGGGTTGTCTGTTTACTGACTGTTTCTTTTGCTGTGCAGAAGCTTTTTAGTTTAATTAAGTCCCATCTATTTATCTTTGTTTTTGCTTTTCGTTTCGTAGTCATGAAGTCTTTGCCTAAGCCAATATCTAGAAGAGTTTTCCAATGTTATCTTCTAGAAATTGTATGGTTTCAGGTCTTAGATTTAAGTCTTTGAACCATCTTGAGTTGATTTTTGTGCAAAGTGAGAGATGAGGATCCAGTTTCATTCTTCTACATGTGGCTTGCCAGTTATCCCAGCACCATTTGTGGAATAGGGTGTCTGTTCCCCACTTTGTGTTTTTGTTTGCTTTGTTGACGATTGGTTGGCTGTAAGTATTTGGCTTTATTTCTGGGTTCTCTATTCTGCTCCATTCGTCTCCGTGCCTATGTTTATACCAGTACCATGCTGTTTTGGTGACTATGGTCTTATAGTATAGTTTGAAGTTGGGTAATGAGATGCCTCCAGATTTGTTCTTTTTGCTTAGTCTTGCTTTGGCTTTGTGGGCTCTTTTTTGGTTCCATATGAATTTTTGGATTGTTTTTTTCTAGTTCTATGAAGAATGATGGTGGTATTTTGATGAAAATTGACTTGAATTTGAAAGAAAAAGATTTCTTTAGGCAATATAGGCATTTTCACAATATTGATTCTATCCATCCCTGAACATGGGATATGTTTCCATTTGTTTGCGTCATCTATGATTTCCTTAAGTAGTGTTTTGTAGTTTTCCTTGTAGTGGTCTTTCACCTCCTTGGTTAGGTATATTTCTAACTATTTTATATAAGAACATTTTGCCTTGCCTTACATACAGAGATTTTCTCCCACATTTATTTTTTAAAATTGTTATTATTTTACATTTAATTCTATGATCCACTTTGAGTTAATTTTTGTATGAAGGTATGAGATTTAGATCAATGTTCATTTTTTTTCCCAATGGATGTCTAATGCTCTAGCATCATTTGTTGAAAGGCTGGACTTCCTTCATTAAGTTGCTTTTGCATCTTTGTCAAAAATCATTTGAGCCTATTTATGGAAGTCTATTTCTGGGTCCTCTATTCTGTTCCATTTTGTATATTCTTCTGCCAAAACCATGTTGGTTTGATTACTATAGCTATATAGCCCTAATATTGGGTGGAGATATATATCTCTTTAATGTTGGGTTGGTTGATTCTTCCCACTTTATTTTATGTCAACATTGTTTTAGCTATTGTAGGTCCTGTGCATTTCCATATAAATGGAGATCAAATAAGTTTGCTAGAATTTTGTTAGAAATTTAATTTCTCAAAGATCAATTTGGGCAGAACTGACATCTTTACCATGCTGAGCCTTCCAAGTCTCTACTCATTTAAGTCTTTAATTTCTTTCATCAGCATTTTGTAATTTCATTATATAAACTCTGTACCTGTTTTTATTTACTTATTTATTTATTTATTTCTGAGACGGAATTTCACTCTTGTTGCCCAGGCTGGAGTGCAGTGGTGCAATCTCGGCTCACTGCAACCTCCATCTCCTAGGTTCAAGTGATTCTCCAGCCTCAGGCTCCTGAGTAGCTGGGATTACAGGCACCCACCACCATGCCCGGCTAATTTTTTGTATTTTTACAAGAGAGGGGGTTTCATCATGTTGGCCAGGCTGGTCTCAAACTCTTGACCTCAGCCTCTCAAAGTGCAGGGATTACAGGCATGAGCCACTGCACCCGGCCTCTGTACCTGTTTTATTAAGTGTATACCTGAATCTTTTATTTTCTTTGGAACTATTGTAATTGATACACTGTTTTTGATATTGGTTCCTACACATTCTTTGTTAGCATGTAAAAATACGATTAACTGTTGTATGCATCCTGCACCCTTGCTGAACTCACTTGTTCTAGGATTTTTGTTGTTGTAGATTTCTAGGGATTATATATGTAGACAATCATATCATCTACAAAGAGAGATTTATTTCATTTATTTCCAAACTGCATGCCTTCTATTTTCTTTTCTTGCCTTATTGTTTTGGCTAGACTTTCCAGTACTGGTTGAATAAAAGTCATGAGAGTGAACCTCCTGGCCTTGTTTCTAATCTCAGGGATGCTCTTTAGCAAGTCGAGATAATTCATCACTATTTCTAAATTGCTGAGAATTTTTATTATAAATAGATGTTGGATTTTGTCAGACGCCTTTTTATATGATGATATTATTTACTTTTTTTATTTTTAATTTCTTCCAGTGTTTCCTCAATGAATTTTCTTCTGTAGCTTATTTCTATGGTATATTACATTAATTAATTTTAAAATGTTGAACCAACCTTACATACCTGGCATATAATAAATCCTACTTCATCATATTACATAATTCTTTTTATTCTTTGCTATTATTTCATTAAGAATTTCTGAGTCAAAATTTACAAAAGACATTGAACTATAGTCTTCTTTCCTCCCTCCCCCTTCTTCCTCTTCCTCCTTCTTCTTCTTTGCCTGGTTTTGGTATCAGGGTAATAATGAGTTGAAAAGTGTTCCTGCCTCTTCTATTTTCTAGAAAAGATAATATAAAATTGGCATTATTTTTTTTTAACATTTGGTATAATTCTCCAGTGAAACAATGTAGTCCTAGAGATTTCTTTTTTGGGATATTTTTAATTATTAATTCAATTTTTTAAATAGCTATAGGACTAGGCTAGGGCTGTTCATTTCATGTTGGCTGAGTTTAGCTAGTTTTTTTTTTTTTTTTAGAAATTGGTCTATTTCTTCTATGTTCGTTGAATATATGAGTGTAAAGTTGTTCATAGTATTTTTATTGTGTTTTAGTGACCACAGGATCTGTATTTATATTTCCTATTTCCTTCCTGGTATTGGTAATTTTGTTATTGTCAATTTTGCTAGTAGTTTATCAATTGTATTAATTTTTTAGAAGAACCTGTTCTTTGTCTCATTGACTACCTTTTTCTTATTTTTAATTCCATTGATTTATTCTTTTATCCTTATTATTTCCTCTGTCTACTTGCTTTTACTTTATTTTTCTCGTTTCTCAAAATAGGAACTTAGGTTATTGATGTGAGGCCTTTAAAGACTTACTCTTTGACCTGTTGATAACTTAGAAGTGTGTTATAAATTTTCATGTTTTAGAGATTTTTCTGCTATTTTTTTGTTATGGATAACACATTCTGTAAAAATTTGCTAAGCATTTTTTATGGCCTATGATATGATCTATTTTGGTGAATGTTCTTCGGTTGCTTGAGATAAAAAGTATATTCTGCTGTTGTTGGATGGAGTATTCTATATATTTCAATTAGATTCTATTTGCTGATTGTGATGGCGCAATCTTCTATATTCTTGATGATTTTCTGTATAGTAGTTCTATTTGTTGTTGAGAGAGGACATTGAAGTCCTGAAATATAATTGATGATTTATTTGTTTCTCTTTCAGTTCTATCAGTTTTTGCTTTGTGTATTTTGAGGCTCTGTTATTTGGTATGTACATAAGATCATTTTGTCTTCCAGGTGGATCCATTCTTTTATCATTATATAATGTTCCTTCTTGTTTCCAGATATTTTCTTTGTTCCAAAGTCCACTTTTATCAGATACTAGTATAAGCACTCCTGTTTTTTTAAAAATTAATATTTGTATGATATATGTTTTTCCACCCTTTTACTTTCAACTTAACTAATCATAGAATTTGAAGTGAGTTTCTTGTAGGCAGCATACAGTTAGATTATGTTCTATTATTCACTTTGTTTATCTCTGTCTTTTGATGGTGTTTAGATGATTTACCTTCAAGGTAACTATTGATAAGTTAGCATTTCACTATACCATTTCATTACTTGTTTTCTATTTGATTCCTCTGGTTCTCATTCCTCTGTTTCTCTTTTCTTGCCTTCCTGTGTGTAACCTAAACATTTTTTAGGATTTCATTTTGATATACAGTGTTTTGGGAAGTACTTCTTTGTATAGTTTTCACTGTGGTTTCCCTGAGTACTAAAACCTAATATGTGACTTGTTACAGGCTACATTATCAACATTTAACTAGTTTGAAACTTCACTCCCATTTAAATCTCTTGTCCTTCCCATTTTTCAATAACATTGAATTGAGTATCAGATGGTATTATAATTTTTGTTTTAATCATCAAACATGATTTATAAAACTCAAAGAGAAAAGAACAGTTTATTGTATGTACCCACAAATGTCTTTCCAATGTTCTTTCTTCCTTCCTAATCCTCTAAGATTTCATCTTGTATTGTTTCCTTTCTGTTTAAAGAACTTTCTTTAGCCAATCTTTAAGAGTAGGTCTGCTAGCAACAAATTCATTTACTTTTCCTTCATCTGAGAATGTTTTTATTTCCTCTTCACTCTGGAAGTATAGTTTTTCCAGACATAGAATTTACAGTTGATAATTCTTTCAGTACTTGAAAAATATTGTGGCATTTCCTTCTCATCTCCATTTTATGAGAAATCTGCTGTCATTTGAATTGGTATTCCTCTATAGGTAATGTGTCATTTCTCTTACTGCTTTCAAGATTTCTTCAGTATATTTTATTTTTAAAAGATTAATTATGATATATCATAGCACAGATTTCATTGGGATTACGTGTGGGGTTCATTCAGCTTCTTGAAGCTGTAGGTTTCTGTCTTTCACCAAATTAGTTAAGTTTTCAGTCATCATTTCTTCAAATACTCGTGTTTATTTGTTTGTTTGAGACAGGATCTCCCTCTATCACCCAGGCTGGAGTATAGTGGCACAATCACAGCTCACTGCATGCAGCCTTGACCTCATAGGTGCAAGAAATCCTCCTGCCTCAGCCTCCTGAGTAGCTGGGACCACAGGTGTGCATCACCATGCCCAATTTATCTTTTTCTTTTTTCTTTTCTTTTCTTTTTTTTTTTTTTTGAGACAGAGTCTCACTTTATTATACAGGGCAGTGACATAATCAAGGCTCACTGCAACCTCTGCCTCCTGGGCTCAACCAATCCTCTCACCTCAGCCTCCTGAGTAGCTGGGACTACAGGTGTGCACCACCATGCCTGGTTAATTTTTTTTTTTTTTTTTTTTTTTTTTTTTGGTAGAGACAGGGTTTTACCATTTTGCCTAGGCTGGTCTTGAACTCCTGAGCTCAAGCAATATGGCCACCTCAGCCTCCCAAAATGCTGAGATTACAGGCATGAGCCACCATGTCTGGCTGTCAGCTAATCAAATACTCTTTCAGTCCCATTATCTTTATCCTCTTCTGGGACTCCAATGACATGAATGTTGGGCCATTTGTCATTGTCTCACAGATCTCTGGGGTCCTGTTCATTTTTTCAGTCTATTTTTGGTCTATTGCTCTGATTGGGTGGATTCCATTGTTTTGTCCTCAAATTTAGTAATTCTACCCTCTCTTATCTCTAATTAACAGTAGATAGTCTAACCTATCGTTAATACTATCCAGCACTATTTTTATTTCTGTTATTTTTTATTTCTAGAATTTTTATTCAGTTGTTTTATAACTTCTATTTCTTTTCTAATATTTTCTATTTTAAAAAATTGTATCAAAAATTTGCAGCTGCTTTATAGGTCATTTATATGACAGATGCTTTAAAATTATTGTCAGATAATTCCAATATCTGATTCATCTTGGTGTTTGTGTCAGTTGATTGTCTTTTCTCATTCAATTTGTGATTTTCTTGGTTCTTGGTATGAAGGATAATTTTTTATTGAATCCTGGGCATTTTGCCTATTATGATAGGAGAGACTAGGTCCTATTTAAGTCTTTCGTTGTAAGTCAGTAACCCTGTTAAATTAATCATGTGGGTCTTGGCTACTTTTATCAGCTGTGGCTCCAGTGGCACTCTAATTTTCACAGACTTTGAGGTGTTATTTTGTTCTGCTTGATTAATCTGGTTGCAAGAGGCCACTGGTTCCTGCCTCTACCCCACTGCCTTGTGGGGCAGAACAGATTTCCCCACACTGGGCCTCAGGTATCTCTCAGTGGGAGAGGAATACGGTGGGGTCTGCCATCTGCCTCAGTGTCTTTGGGCAGGGAAGGAGAGTCTCAGGCATGTGAGAACAAAGAGGCTTCCTAGAATTGGCCACTTTTTGTGGTTGCATCCTTGTTGCTGGTTATGTCTTCTTGCCCCAGTGACTCTAGACAGGGGAGGATCATTTGAGGCACACAGAGAAAAAGAGGCTTCCCTGACAGTATTATTTGCTATAGTTCATTCTTTTTTTACGTGTTCTGCCTGCCCACTTCAGTATTTCTTGGTGGAAAGGGAGAGTCTCAGGGCTGAGGGAGAGCAGAGTCCTTCCTCTGGCCAATTATTTTTGGCGAGGCTTCCAATTAATCTCTTTGGCTGGTAGCGTTGAACTTGTCTGATAGTTCCAGAGGGACATCCGCTCAATCAGGAAAAAAAAAAAAAAAAAAAAAAAAAATCAGCCTCCCTGAGCTGCTTCTTGTTGCCAGGCTTGGACTTAGGAAACACTCAGTTAGGAAACACTCGGTCTAGGTGACCATCTTCTGTTGGGTTGGGACACTCTAAACACTCTGCTACTGTGCTGTTCCTCCAGGCCTAGGGAGGCCAGCTCATTCTTTTTTTTTTTTTTTTTTTTTTTTTGAGACGGAATCTCGCTCTGTCGCCCAGGCTGGAGTGCAGTGGCACGATCGCTTCTCACTGCAAGCTCCGCCTCCCAGGTTCACGCCATTCTCCTGCCTCAGCCTCCCAAGTAGCTGGGACTACAAGTGCCCACCACTACGCCTGGCTAATTTTGTTTTTGTATTTTTAGTAGAGACGGGGTTCCACCGTGTTAGCCAGGATGGTCTCGCTCTCCTGACCTCATGATCCACCTGCCTCGCCCTCCCAAAGTGCTGGGCTTACAGGCGTGAGCAAACCAGCTCATTCTTACTGTCTTTCAGCGCTCTCATTTGGTTGTCTCTTGTACCATTACCAGAGTTGGTAGTTGTTCTTAGCAGGAAAAAGCAGGGGAAAATGGGTCTACATCATCTTTTCTGGACCAGAAATCTGTTTATTATATTTTAATTGCATATTTCCATTCATTTTTTGGCAATTAACCCTTTTAGATCTTATTATAATTATTTGTGTACATCCACGGATTTGAAACATCTTGGTAATTTATCTTTGTGTATTTTACAGTGCCTTGAACAAAGCAGATTCTTCCTTAAAGGTACTTATACATGAATGAATGTTCATGCATATTTTCTCTGGGGCTGTACAATGGAACAAGACCTACCTGTTAAAAGAGTGGTTGTTGGTAGAATGTAAACATGACTTATAAGTGTTCATCCTTGCAAATGGACATAGGAGTAACAGGGAGAAACTTGCTTAATGTGATTTACAGAAACCTGGTTCAGAACATAGGCTCACTTGGTCATCACTTCCCTCTGGTCATCACAATCTCACAATCATTTTTCTGCTTTCAGCAGATGGGAACATGTGATAATGCTGTGACAGATTTCCCCACCATTACTTCCTAAAGCCATTACCCGCTTCTAGCTTAAAACCTTGAACACACAAACACACACATATATACACACTAACATACACATACATGTATGTTTCAAGCATCCAAGATAGGAAGTAGGGGAACATGATGAATTTTCTTTTCTAGAAATAAAACAATCATTTGTCCAATGAAAGATGAGCATAAAACACCCATACCTAATAACAAATGGCACAGAACAACATTGCTGGGAATCCCCAAATAGACCTCACGAAAACATCACTGAAGATTGCATGTGAGAGCTAGAAGGCCTCAGGCAGGGAATGCCATGGAATGTAAGACCAGGCCCCTGCTGGGGCTCAGAAATAGGAATGATAGAAAAGCAAGCAGGAAGAGACCCTGGGCAATTGAGTTCTCCCACTGAGCAAGAAAGAATTGAAAATAACAGCATTAGGCAGGAAAACAATGGATGCCTGACCTCCCATTTAACCATTGTAATCATGCATTGTTATCAATTGGCTTGGTCTTTTAAGATTCCTAGTCACTTGTCCCTCATATCTGTGGCACATACTTATCACTGTGTGGATTTGCTTTTTGGCAAACAGAAGTTTTAATTTTTAATGGAGTCAAATCTATTACTCTTTTCAGAAACGATCTTTCTCTTTGTCTTCAAGTTTATGAAGTCCCCTCTCACTCCAGTAGGGATAAATACTCATTTCTATTCTGGGTTTCTAATGATTGATTTTATACATTTATTTATTGCTTTAATCCAGCTGGAATTAACATTAGCATATGGTGTAGGAAGACTGTAATTCTTCCAACTCTAATGCATTCTTGATAAGTAAAAAATAGGATTTCCTACAGTAGAAAACTCAGCCTAGAAACCTGCCTTTCAGTATCCTGAGGCAGGAATGGAGTGAATGAGGCACTTTCCTCAAACCTAAAAACCTCATCCTGTTTTACTGGGGACTTGGGATAACCTTCTTTATTTCTCAGTGTCTCCTCCTTTGTGTACAGTAGCGACACAAATATCCACTGTGTTTCCAAAGAGAAGTCAAGTGCTTAAGCTCCTCAAATTTTCTGAGTACATTCTATGTAGAGGATTTTCCATTACTGGTTACACTTAATACACAGGGCCTTGCTGGAGAATGTGACCAGGAGAACTAGAACTTCAGAAAACACAAAATGAGCTATCAAAGGCTTGGCACTTTGTAGGGGTGTAATCAGAAGAAAAACGAGTCCTAATATTTAGAACACATTAGATGTAACCTCTTAAACTCCAAAGTTCTCTTCAAATCTTACCTATTTAATTTGAAAGCAAGCAATGTTCCAGTGTTAACATTTCTGATTTGGGGGATGCCAGATAGTGAAATTTGGATTAAACAGAGGGAATTTATAGTCTTATTCTAATTAATAAATGGACTTAACGGGGTTCTGAAAATAAAACAACCTCATAATTAGTTGGTAATTAACATAGCTAAGAGCCAGGTAGAACTGTCCAACCTGTGTCATATTCTCACAGGTGTGCCCACAAAATACAATATTATATAGAATAAATACATTGCCCACCTTCATTCATCCAGCAAGATGTACTGACTTTTCACTGTAGGCATGAACCTGAAGGGAATTAAAAATGAAGGATGGTCCTTGCTCTCACAAAAGCTGCCAAATTGGGTACACTCACTCAGTGTCTTCAAGGAACACATGGTCAGGTTTCTAGATTATGCTTAACTAGATTGGGAGAGTGGATTACCCTCAGAATACCCTTGATAAAAGCTTTCAAAATTTTCCTTTACTCACAAAACCATGTTTTCAGGGAACCTAAACAGAAGTCCAATATATAAGATAGAATAATAGATAAAAGTATAAATTATTTGGTCAAATGAGGACTACTAGTGTTCTCAAAACACTACCCCACTTCCAAAATACACACATACACACACACACACAATTCCTGGAACTTTACAGAGTAGAGTTTCAAAATCACTGCAGCTGATGAATTGACAAATAGAAAGAAGGGGTAACAGATAGGTACAAATGTAATATAATAAACACAATAGAATGTTAATGTTAGACACCAAGCGGTGGTTACACAGGGTGTTCACTATAAAATTACTTCAGTTTTCATATACGTTTAATTTTTTCATAATACAATATTGAAAAAAAAATCCCGCTCTTGATTCCTATATCTGAAAGTTCTTAAAGTTTTAGTTGAGTAAACATTTAGAATTATTGGCCGGGTGCAGTGGCTCATGCCTGTAATCCCAGCATTTTGGGAGGCTGAGGCAAGTGGATCACCTGAGGTCAGGAGTTCGTGACCAGCCTGACCAACATGGTGAAACCCCATCTCTACTAAAAAAAAAAAAAAACACAAAAATTAGCCGGGTGTAGTGGCAGGCACCTGTAATCCCAGCTACTTGGCAGGCTGAGGCAGCAGAATCACTTGAAACCAGGAGAAGAAGATTGCAGGGAGCTGAGACCATGCCATTGCACTCCATCCTGGGCAACAAGAGCAAAACTCTGTCTTGAAAAAAAAATTGGAATTATTATTTGTTCTTAATTGACCCCTTTATCATTATGATATGTCCCTCTTTATCTTTGGTAAACCTTCTTGTCTTAAAGTTTACTTTGTGTAATTGATGTAGCCACATTGGCTTTCTAAAAATTATTTCTATAACATATATTTGTATTCCTTTTACTTTTAACTCTTTGTGTTTTTGTATTTAAAGTGCATATGTTGTAGTCAGCATATTATTGGGTTTTATTTATTTTGTATCTTTCATGCACGTCCGTGTGAAGAGACCACCAAACAGGCTTTGTGTGAGCAACATGGCTGTTTATTTCACCTGGGTGCAGGCGGGCTGAGTCCAAAAAGAGAGTTAGCGAAGGGAGATAAGGGTGGGGCCATTTTATAGGATTTGGGTAGGTAAAGGAAAATTACAGTCAAAGGGGGTTTGTTCTCTGGCTGGCAGGAGTGGGGGTCGCAAGGTGCTCAGTGGGGGTGCTTTTTGAGCCAGGATGAGCTAGGAAAAGGACTTTCACAAGGTAATGTCATCACTTAAGGCAAGGACCAGCCATTTACACTTCTTTTGTGATGGAATGTCATCAGTTAAGGTGAGGCAGGGCATATTCACTTCTTTTGTGATTCTTCAGTTACTTCGGGCCATCTGGGCGTATACGTGCAAGTCACAGGGGATGCGATGGCTTGGCTTGGGCTCAGAGGCCTGACAGTATCCATATTGACAATCTATGACTATTAATTGGGACATTTAGTCCATTTATATTTAATGTAATGATATAATTCAGTTTTAAGTCTACCATCTGAATATTTATGCCATCTTTTTTTGTTTCCTTCTTCCTTCTTTCTTGCCTTCTTTCTGTTAAAATGCATATTTCTAAAGTTTCCATCTTTATACCACTATTAGGGTTTTTAATTATACCTCTTTGTAGCGTGTGTGTGTGTGTGTGTGTGTGTGTGTGTGTGCATGCATGCTCTAGGACTAACAATATGCATCCTTATCTTATCAAAATCTACCTAAAATTAATATTATACTATCTCATGTAAAATATAAGAACCTGACATTTATTACTTCCTTGTCCATTATGCTGTCACATGTTTTACTTCTATTTGCATTATAATCCTTTCAATACATTGTCATGAGTTTTGCTTTAAATAGTAAGTTACCCCGTAAGAGCTTAACAGAAAATAAAGACGGTTTAAAAATATATATATTATTCCATATATTTACCATTTCTGTGCTCCTCATTCCTTCCTGTTAATCTGTTTCCATTTGCTTTCACTTTCTTTTAGGCTGAAGAATTTGCTTTAACATTTCTTATAATGCGGGTTGACTAGCAGTACATTTTCTTAGGTTTTGTTTATCTAAAACTTAGGTTTTGTTTATGCAGCCATAAAAAGGAATTAGATCATGTCCTTTGCAGGGGCATGGATAGAGCTGGAAGAGATCATCCTCAACAAGCTAACACAGGAACAGAAAACCAAACACTGCATGTTCTCACTCATAAGTGGGAGCTGACCAATGAGAACACATGGCCACAGGGAGGGAAACAACACACACTGGGGCCTGTCTGGGGTGGGATGGGGGGCAGCGGTGGGAGGGAGAGCATCAGGATAAATAGCTAATGCATGTGTGGCTTAATACCTAGGTGATGGTTTGATAGGTACAGCAAACCACCATGGCAAATGTTTACATATGTAACAAAGCTACACATCCTGCACACGTTTCCCAGAATTTAAAATAAAATAAATTTAAATTTAAAAAAAGAATTTAAAAATGTCATTCTATTGTCTTCTGGCTTGAATAGTTTTTATTTAGGAGTCTAAAATAACTCTTACTGTTGTTCTCCTATATGTAATGTCTCTCCACTCCTCCCATCCTCAGCAGCTTTTTTCTTTACTTTTGGATTTTTATCAGTTGGCCGTCATACATCCAGGTATGGTTTTCTTTGTTTTTATCCTGCTTTGGTTTGCTAAACATCTTCAACCTGTAGTTTGATTTTTTCACTATATTTGGGAAAATTTGTTCATTTTTTTAAACTATTTTTTTTCCTCCCTCATTCTCTCTATCCTCATTTCTGGACCTCAAATTGTACAAATGTTAGACTTCTCGCTTTTGCCCCACAGATCACTGAAGATTCATATATTTTTTCTATTTTTTCCTCCTGTTCTTCAGATCAGACAATTTCTACTGATCTGTCTTAAAGTTTCCTGATCTTTTCTGTAGTTTCTAATATGTTGCTAAGGCCATTCAGTAAACTTTTCATTTTGGAAATTATTATTTGCAGTTCTATAATATAGATTTGTTTCTTTTTTATAGTTTACATTTGTTTCTCTGAGATTTCCCGCCTCTTCATTTTATGTCACCCATTTTATGTCAAGTCCTTGAATATACTTATCTAGTTATTTTAAATTCCTCATTTTCTAATTCTAATGTCTGAGTTATTTCAAAGTCTGTTTCTATTTATTGCTTTTTTCTGATTAATGGAGCTTCCTCTTCACACATCCAGTAATTTTTTTGTTGTATGCTAAACACAGGGCGACACATTTAGGGAATCTGCATTATATTGTCTTCCTTATAGGGTACTGAGTTTTTTTCTGGCAGGAAATTACATTTCTAAAATATTCTCTTGAACCTTTCATTGTTAGAACTGGTCTAGTTCAAATTTGTCCTTAGTTGTAGAACACAGCCTTATGGTAGTGTACAGGTCTCACTCCTGAGGCTGGCCTTTCTGGGGTTTCAACTGAATGCCCAGGTTCTCAGGGAAATCTGCCCTCTCAGACTAAGAATTCCAACGTCTCCCATCTCTGGGCAACCACTAGTGTCTTTGTTCGGCTCTTGGTCCCACAGTGAACCCTCTCTGCTAGGCCTCATGGTGTCTTGCCCTGCTTATACATAGTCAATCCTTCAGACAATGACCTGCAAAGAAACCTCCATGTACACTACCTCCACATGCCCTACCTCATGCATCTCTCTTATTCAGTACCCTACTCTGCTAATTCCAGCCCCTCAGCAGCAACAAAGTACAAACTCTGCCTTATCAGTTCATTGAAACAAGCATGTAATGCTTGGCCCCACCTCCTTACTAGCCAGTCCAGTGAATGCACCCCTAGGCAGAAAGCCAAGGTGAATGCAAGGCTTGCCTCAGGGGTTTACCTTGTCTCAAGGGTCACAGCCCTGCATTGCCTGTTAGCCAATTTCTGAAAACAGTTGCCGCATACATTTTATCTAATTTTATAGTTATTCATGAAATGAGGTCAAGAATGATACCAGTTACTTCATTGTGGCTTGAAAACTAAAATGCTTTAGTATCTCTCTCCACTACCACCATCAACACTTGAACTTTACAAATGATCCTATTTATTCTACCACCTGCTACTAAATGATGAAAAATAATTATCAAGTGAGTTGCCGAGGCTTCCTGCTCTTATTTCTCTTACCATGTTCTCAGATATCTGACTGCTAGCTAATGTCTCTGCCCGGGAACAAAAGAAGCCAGAGAAGGAGAAAGAGGAAGCTCAAGTTCTCCCATATTCTCTCTTTTCAAAAGTTACGAAGAGTAGAAAATAGTTTAACAAGGAAGTTTAGAGATTACATGAAAATTGTAATGAGTCTGATGCACCAGCTTCCAATACCGTCATCACAACCAGCCCTTCCTTGGTGGTAGTTATGTATTGGTTGCACCTGATACCTAAGCAGTAGTCTGCTCTCTTTTGCAATAAATCACATCTGTCTCTATGATAGACTCTGACCTCAGCCTACCAACAGCATGTTTTTTAATGACACTGGCTTGCAAATGCATCTGATTTGAAATAAACTTTCTTTGTACCATTTTTAGGTTCTGTACTTTTGAATAAAGGTGCAATCACAGCAAATCAAATTCTCAGAAGACTACAATAAGTAAACATTAAGCAGTGTTCCTTTTTGAAAGCAGGAGAGAGTATATGTTTAGGAATGTTCAAGGATTAGTCTGGTTCTTTTTTAAGTTTTTATTTATTGATTTTATCTTAACAGCAAAATACAATGCCTGGCTAGAGCCTTTAAATACAGATAAACAATCCAAACAAGCTGCAACTTACGTATATCAATCTTCTAAGATCACCTCAGAAAAGAGAAGGTGGCTCCCAACTTGTCCCAAGTTAAATACATTTAAGAGAAGCAAATGGGAATAGCAGCTAAAGCTGACGGACAGGGCAATTCGAGGCATCAGATGCTCCCTTTCAGGTTGCTGAGATGCTTCCAGATGGTTCCTGTATCTGCATGGCCAAAGTGGTATAATTTATTTTCTTAGCTTTTTCAATCTCTCTGCATATTACATCACAATTTTAGCTCAAGTTTATTTTTGTTGTGTGTATTTGACAATCCTTTGGTGGTGTGGAACTTAAATCATCACTTCCCAGAGCAAGAAAACAAAGGCTGACACTTCTGATATAGAAGGCTGCAATCTGGAAAGGACGATGGTTGGAAGGGCAGGTGGATGATTGGGACCACCACTAGGTTTATTCTTTATTTGTTCAACATGTTTTCATTAAATTAGGGTACAGAGGTGGACAAGTCAGAAGCAGTCTCTCTCATTATGGAGTTTACACTCTACCAGAGGTGAGAATGGAGGACTTAAAGGTAGACAAAAATGCCTAATGTGTCACCTAGAGAACACAACCAAAAATGAGTTACCCAACAACTTCATACAGCTGCTACCTGCAGTTAGTATGTACATGCCAGGTAAGCTAGGAAGAGGCCTACAGCCTCTCCTGGAAAATCTTGGGAGACCAAATAGGTTTTGATCTTGACCATTCCCTGAAAATCCTCATCTATAATCTTCAAATGCAAGAAGGAACCAGGAGGTGCCATTATGTTTCACCACAAGAACTCATTTTTTTTAATTACTGTTTTTTTCTTTTAGTGAGCATAATTTTTTCTTTTGTTGTTATTGTTGTTATTGTTGTTTTTGAGACAGGGTCTCATAATGTCACCTAGGCTGGAATGCCGTGGCGCCATCTTGGCTCACTACAACTTCCGCCTCCTGGGTTCAAGGGATCCTCTCACCTGAGCCTCCATAGTAGCTGGGATTACAGGCATGTGGCACCATGCCCAGCTAATTTTTGTATTTTTTTGGTAGAGGTGGTGTTTTGCCATGTTGCCCAGGCTAGTCTCCAACTCCTGGGCTCAATTGATCTGCCCGCCTGGGCCTCCCAAAGTGTTTGGATTACAGGCATGAGCCACTGTGCCCAGCCAATTTTTTAATTACGTAAATTAAAGGGGTACAAGTGCAGTTTTGTTATATGGATATACCGCATAGTGGTCAAGTCTGGGCTTTTAATGTAATCAACACCTAAATAGTGTACATTGTACTACCTCACTCCCCTCCCACCCCATCATCATTCTGAGTCTCCAGTGACTATTATTCTATACTCTATGTCTACATACACACATTATTCAGCTCCCACGTGTGAGGACATGTGGTATTTCACTATGTTTCTGAGTTTTTTCACTTAAGATAATGACCTCCTATTCCATCCATGTTGTTGTAAAAGACATGTTTTCATTCATTTTCTGTGGCTGAATAGTATTCTATTATGTATACATATATACACACACATATACATAAATAAAATGTGCTGTATGTATATATGTGTATATGTATATACATGTGGTGTGTGTGTATATATGTGTATACATATGTATATGTGTATGTGTGTGTGTATATATATACATATGTATACACTTATATACACACACAGAGCACATTTTCTTTATTTAATCATCTTGATTTTTTTGGAAGAGTTTCAGTAGGATGAGTATCAGTTCTTCTTTGCACATTTTGTAGAATTTGGCTATGAAGCCATCCAGTCCTGGGCATTTTAGGGGGAAGGTTTTAAAATTATTGATTCAATCTTACTATTCATTATTGGTCTGTTTAAGATTTCTATTTCTTTCTGGTTCAATCTTGGGCAGTCATATGTTTACAAGAATTTGTCAATTTCCTCTACATTATCTAGATTGTGAGTGTACACTTCTTCATAGTAGTCTCTGATCATCTTTTGTATTCCTATGGTATCATTTGTAATGTCTTCTTTTTCATTTCTGACTTTTATTTGGATCTTTTCTTGGTTAGTACAGCCAGAGGCTTATCAATTTTGTTCATCTTTTCAAAAAACCAACTTTTTGTTTAACTTATCCTTGGTATTGTTATCTTGGTTTTCATTTTCATTTTATTTTTATTTTTAACAACCAATTTATATCATTCAAACAGATAGAACTGCCTTGTGCTTGTTTCAGCCTTGTTTTCTGGTTATTAAAAGAAGACCTGAACCAGATACAAATTCACCATATTTTCCTTCAAGGACACTTCTCATAAAAGCTACTAATATGCATATTTTGGCATACAAAATCACATTTGCTAAAACTTTTTTCTGCTTAAATACAATTCTTTTTTCATTTAGCAACTGCATGTTATTATAGAGGTCAATTCATTGGGTTATAAGAGAAAAGAAACACTTATTGAAGATTCACAACATACATTCCATTATATATCGCTGTTCAATAGAATGCAAAATTAGTAAATATCACCCCTACAATTGGACCATGTAACTGATAGATTTTCCTGTAAGGAGTTACCAAAATGTCATCAAAATCTAGAGTTTGACAATTTCCAGGCCTTATCCTGACCTTCTCAATGCAAGTTGCACAAATGAAATCAGTTATCCAAGAGAAAAACTGGGATAGAAATAGGGGTTAATAGATTATGATCCTAAGTTGAAAAATACAGAGCTCTCAGTTTCCAAGATTTACCATTTTCAAGTGTCCCTAATTTTGTCCCAAGAGTGGCTCCAGCCTGGGCATGACAGCTGGCTGTAATGGGGACAGATAGCTCTTTCTTTCTAAGAACAAGATTTACCATTTGTTTTGTCTGCTCTCTCCACAAGCTCTTCCTGAAACATATCAGTGGCATAATAAATATCATCTCGTTTTCCATCTTAAGGACTTTAGTACTCAAAGGTAACTGTTTTGAGTCCTTAAAAAAAAAAAACAAGCAAAAAAAAAAGTGGTTTGCAAACTTTTGTCTGTGACATAACACCAAAGCCGTAGTAAAGTCAATGATAATAATAATAATAGGTACTTACTTGGGCTAGGGACTGTGCTAGGCTTCTTTTCATTCATTATCTCATTTAATATTCACAGTTCCTACATGGCTTAGTATTTCTTGCAGACCCTTTAAATGCTTACATATAGAAATCTGCCCTACTATTTCAAGTATAGGCAGAAGTTGGCAATACAAGAAAAGACAAAGGGATAAGAATCCGTCCAACTGGACAAAACAACTTCAATCCTTAAAAAGTCCTACCCATTTTAGAAACAGGTCAATGAAGCTACCTGTTATGATTGTAGAAGTCATGTCTGCTTACTGCACCTAATTTGAGAATTACAGAAAAACATTTTTAAAAATCACATATTATTCTATCACTCAGAGATAAACATTGATAGTGTTTTTATAGTTCCCAGTCTTATTTATATATTTGCCTTCTTTTTTTGCTATTTGTTTAATTTTTAAACCAAATTCGGATTACATAGCAATGCAATTTTCCCATATTATTAGATATAATTTTTGAAAGATTTTAAAACACTACCTTATGTTCCATAATTTATTTAACAATTTCACTGTTTACTGACAGATAATTTAGAGTACTTAATTATTCTATAAATACTATAATACCAAAGTATAATAATGAATTTTTGCCTGCATCTCTATTTCTTTAAGAAAGATTTCTATAAATGAGATTACTAGATCAAAAAACATTAAAAAATTCTTTTTCTAGGGAGAATATCCCCATGCCCAATTCCACTACATTTGCCAACTAGCTGAAAATGATGGGGTTTTTTTTGCATGTTTTAAATTGTTATATAATGGTATTAGATTGCATTCTTCTGAAACTCATTTTCAAAACATCTTTACTCAACATATATTTATAGTTATTCTTGTTACTATATGTTGTTTTTACTCATTCTTTTTTTGCTTTTCGAAAATCGTCTCTTAGTTGAATAATAATATTTATGTATTAGCTATTGGTGAACATGTACGTTTTCCTGAATTATCAAAAAGATACTATTGTAAGTATGTTGTGCACATTCCCCTTGGCATGTGGGCCATGGGAGTTGCATGTCTTCAACTATTCTGGATGATGCCACACTATATTCCACAGTGGCTGTACCAGTTTGCTCTGTGAATGATAATCTTCATTGCTTTACAACCTCTCCAACACCTAGAATTGTTAGATTTATTTTTCCCTTTAATTTTGACAATTGGATAGATGTAAAAAGCTATACTGTGCTGATTTTAGAAGGCATTTCCTGATTACTTTTGCAGTTGTACATTCTTTCATTCATTAATTGTCCATTTCTGTTGCTTCTCCAATTTATGTTTCTTCAGACCCCTTAGTTATTTTTCTATTGATTTTTATTTCTGATTACTTGTTTGTATTAACTCTTTTTATATTTCATATTAATTTTCTACTATGAAACATTCTGCAAATACAGGCATAACCTGAATGATGTTGCCTCGATTAACATTTTCATGGTAAAATGACTCTTGGTTTTTAAAATCCAAATTTCATCATCTATTTTTTTTTTTTTGCCAATGTTCATGTAGCAAAACTTTAGATTTATAATACCAAACTCTGCAAAACTTTCAATAAAAGGAAATATAGGAAAATCATCAAGATATTTTCAAAACATATTCAGTAGAACATCAGAATAATATATAGATATTTTGGAAAGCAAGCTGAGTGACAACACACGAAACACCCATTTCAGAAGTTGCTGATGCTAAAAGGCCATCATACCATCAGTGTGAGCCACACTTGGCCACCAGGCACTAGAGCACATTTCCCAGTGCCTTCCCCATTTTACTTTTTTTGCTTATTGTTGAAATCCCCAAATTGTTGAGAAAACACTGAAGACAATTGTAGAGAAGAAAACAAAACAAGTGAGAATAGCTACTACGTACAAAGCAAACATTTTATAACATGTTAATTGTAGAAGTCATCAAGGATATAATTTTTTTAAGTACAAGTGATCGAGGATATAATTTTTTTAAGTACAGGCATACCTTGTTTTACTGCACTTTGTTTCATTGCACTTCACAGATAATGTGGTTTTACAAGTTGAAGGTTTGTGGCAACTTTGCATCTAGCAAGTCTATTGGCACCATTTTTCCAACAGCACGTGTTCATTTCACGTCTATGTATCACAATTTGGTAATTCTCCCAATATTTCAAACTAATTCATTATTATTATGTCTGTTGTGGTGATCTGTGATCAGTGATCTTAGATGTTCCTATTGTAAGTGTTATGGAGCCCAATATAAGATGGTGAACTTTATCAGTAAATGTTTGTGTGTTCTGACTGCTGCACTGACTAGCCATTTTTCCCTCTCCTCAGGCTTCCCTATTCCCTGAGACACAACAAATTGAAATTAGTCCAACTAATAAGCAGACAACAGCTTCTAAGTGTTCAAGTGAAAGGAAGAGTCCCATGTCTCTCCCTGTAGATCAAAAATTAGAAATGATTAAGCTTGGCGAGGAAGGCATGTCAAAAGCTGAGCTAGGATGAAAGCTAGGCCTCTTGCACCAAATAGCCAAGTTGTGAATGCAAAGGAAAAGTTCTTGAAGGAAATTAAAAGTGCTACTCCAATGAACATACAAATGATAAGAAAGTGAAACAGGCTTGTTGAGGATATGGGAAAGTTTGAGTGGTCTGGATAGAAGATCAAACTAGCCACAACATTCCCTTAACCCAAGGCTTAAACCAGAGAAAGGCCCTAACTATATTCAATTCTATGAAGGCTAAAAGAGGTAAAGAAGCTGCAGAAGAAAAGTTTGAAGATAGCAGAGGCTGATTCATGAGGTTCAAGGAGAGAAGCCATCTCCAGAACATAAAAGGCAAAGCAGGAAGTGCTTATATAGATGCTGCAGCAAGTTATCCAGAAGATCTAGCTAAGATAACTAATGAAGGTGGCTACACTAAACAGCAGATTTTTTTTTTTTTTTTGAAACATAGTCTCACTCTGTCACTAGGGCTGGAGTGCAATGGTGCGATCTCAGCTCACTGCAACCTCTGCCTCCCGGGTTCAAGCAATTCTCCTGCCTCAGCCTCCCAAGTACCTGGGATTACAGGTGCCCACCACTACGCCCTGCTAATTTTTTGTATTTTTAGTAGAGACATGGTTTCCCCATGTTGGCTAGGCTGGTCTCGAACTCCTGACCTCATTATTTGCCTGCCTCGGCCTCCCACAATGCTGGGATTACAGGGGTAAGCCACCACACCCGGCCAAAGGCAGATTTTCAAGAGAGATGAAACAGCCCTCTGTTGGAAGAAGATGCCATCTAGGATTTTCCTAGCTAGAGAGGAGAAGTCGATACCTGGCTTCAAATCTTCAAAGAACAGGCTGATTCTTTTGTTAGCTGCTAACGCAGCTGGTGACTTTAAGTTGAAGCCAATGCTCATTGACCATTCTGAAAATGCTAAGGCCCTTAAGAATGATACTACACCAACTCTTCATGTTCTCTGAAAAGAAACAGGAAAGCCTAGATGACAGTACATCTGTTTATAGTATGGTTTACTGAATATTTTAAGCCCTCTCTTGAGACCTATTGCTCAGAAAAAAGATTCCTTTCAAAATATTACTGCTCACTGAAAATGTACCTGGTCACCCAAGAGTTCTGATGGAGATGTAAAAGGAAATGAATGTTGTTTTCATGCCTGCCAACACAGCATCCATTCTGCAGCCCATGGGTGAAGGAGTAATTTTGACTTTCAAGTCTCATTATTTAAGAAATACATTTGTAAGACTATACATAGTGATTTATCAGATTGATCTGGGCAAAGTAAAATGAAAACCTTCTGGAAAGGATTCACCATGCTGGATGTCATTGAGAACATTCATGATTTATGGGAGGACAACAAAATATTAACATGAAAAGGTGTTTGGGAGAAGTTGATTCCAACTCTCATGGATGACTTTGAGGGGTTCAAGACTTCAGTGGAGGAAGGAGCTGAAGATGTGGAAGAAATAGCGACAACTAGAATCAGAAGTAAAGCTTGAAGATGTGACTGAATTACTGTAATTTTACAATAAAACTTGAATGAGTGAGGAGTTGCTTCTTACGGGTAAGCAAAGAAAAGGATTTCTTGAGGTAAAATCTACTCCTGAAGAAGATGTTATGAACATCGTTGAAATGACAACAAAAGCTTTAGAATATTACATAAACTTAGTTGATAAAGAAGGGTTGGAGAGGATTCACTCATTTTGAAAGGAGTTTTATTGTGGGTAAAATGCTGGCAAACAGTGCTGTATGCAACAGAGAAGTCATTCGTGAAAGCAAGAAGCCACTGATGTTGAAAACTTTACTGTTTTCTTACTTTAACAAATTGCCACAGCCACTTCTGCCCTCAACAACCACCAGTCTGATCAGTCGGCAGCCATAAATATCAAGGCAAGACCCTCCACCAGCAGAAAGATTATGACTTACTGAAGGCTCAAATGATCACCAGTATTTTTAGCAAAAAAAATTTTTAAATTAAGATAACATATTTTTTTATAATGCTATTGCATACTAGACTACTATAGACTGTAAACACAACTTTTATATTCACTGGGAAACAAAAAAGTTTGTGTGCCTTGTTTTATTGCAATATTCACTTTATTGTGATGGTCTGGAAGTGAACATGCAGTATCTCTGAGATATAGATATGCCTGCATTTTAAGTCTCAGTGTGACATTATTGTTCTACTATGGTTATTTTACTGTGTTTTACTTACACTTCAAGAAATTCACTAGAGGGTTGGTTTGACATATAACACATTTTTTCCCATTTAAGTAATGGCAAACTGTCTCAAGGAAATCATTTTTGGGTAATACATCTGATCATCAGGAATCAATTAGTAACATCAAACAAGGGGTGTCTATATTTTTTTCTCAGCATGTTCCTTATCTTTTCTTTGTTTGCTTGTTTGTTTGTTTTCTATTTTACATGTCTCATTTAATCCTGGAAAAATGCTATAAAGTAGCTAGCTGATTCTATCTTACAGATGAGGGCACTGAGATTCAGAGAGGTCAGTAGCTGGCTTTATTATCTTCTTCACTGTGGCTGCAATAAAAAATAACCACAAACTTTGTGGCTCTCACAGCTCTGGAAGCCAGAAGCCCAAAATTAAGATGTTTAAGAGCAAAGATCCCTCCAGAGGCTCTAGGAGGGATTCCATTCCTTGCCACTTTCAGCTTCTGGTGGTTGGTGGGACTCTTGTAATAGCATTTAGGTCTCCCAAAATAATCCAGGATGATTTCCTCATCTCAAGATCCTCAATTTAATCATATCTGCAAGGACCATTTTTTTTGCAAACAAGGTCACATTCACAAGCTCTAGAAATTTGATGTGGATACGTTTGCAGAGCCAATATTCAACTTGGCACACTCACCGAAGGCCACATAGCAGAATACGGTGTCAAGTCCAGATATAGGAGTTCCAGACTCCAGAGTTCATGTTCTTTCCACTCCATGTGCGGTTTTCCATCACATTGTGTGACCTGTCGTCTCCATCCCTCCTCACACCTCAGATTCCCTTAGTCTTCCCAACCTCAGAGTGAGGTTAATACTCTGTTCTCTCCGTGCCAGGGTCTCTTCCAAGGAGAGTATTCAAGAGCTGTGCCACCCCTTTACAAATTCCATTGCGCATCCGTGACTTCCTTTCCAATACCCAGACAGTTTCCTGAGTCTAGTTCACAGACTAGATCACCAAAGCAACCTTCCTGGGAGTAAATATTACATCTTTCCCATTCATATTAGTTTCTCAAAAGTGCTCAAGAGCCTGAAGAATGACAGAAGAGAAATGCTAAAGATTGAAGGAGTTCAGAACACAATACTCCAAAATATGTTGCTCTAGTATATTGACTATTTTGAGCTTAAAGACACTTGGAAAAACAGCAGATACAAAAAATATACTCTGAGCTTTCTTCTTTTCCTTAGAAACAGGAGATAACTTGTCCTCCCTACGCCAGAGGGAAAGTAGCGTTCTTATCATCAAAGACGAGAAGTTGATGCTGAGAGAAATCTGAACAAACACACCTTATTAAAGTAACCCTTATCTTCCTAGTTACTTCTCTACCCAATTAACCTCCCTAGCCCAAGCCCGTTGGCTTTGTCACATACTCACAATTTTCTATTCCTTTCCCAATTCAGTACATAGGTGTTCAACTTTCAACTCTGTCTTTGGGTTTCATTTCCTTAAGAGGGCTCTTGTGCTCACATAAAAATTGAATGAATTAAATTTGTATGCTTTTCTCCCGCTGATCTGCCTTATGTCAATTCAATCCTCAGGCCCAGCTAAAAAACCCTAAGAGAGAAAATTTGGCCTCCCCTACAATGTCATCCTCTTTCTTTTTTCTGGACCTTCTATCTGCTGGTACTTAAGATACTAAAATGGACGGGAGAAAGAAAGCAAACCATGTTATGTCTTCTGCATTGGCCTGGTACACTCCGTTTGAAGGTTACTCGAAGCCAGCTTGCTTTTTGTCAAGAGATTGCTTGATCTGGAGCCATATAGAAAATGGTGACATCTCCACCCCGTGACATATGGGCCAGTAAGGGCTTGCAAAGTTCCATTCTGCACACTTCTCTTCATTCTAAGAACGAGTATTCATTCCATTTAAACACATATTACCAGGAATTCAATCCAACCTCTCTTTTTACAGTCTACCTAGAATTACTATTATACTATTTACATACAATATGGAAACCTCACACATGTATGAATCTATTTACAAACTCCCTCTAAATTCAAGTTGTCATTGAAATTACATCTACCTGTATTATAAATCCCATAAAAATGATGCTATAGTTTTTACTTAAACAAACATACATATTCTTAAAACATTAGGAGGAAAAAATTGATTTTTATATTTATCTTACTATTTATGATTTCTTTATTTTTACATAAGGATCTGAGTTTTCATCTATTTTTTCTTGTCATCCCAAAGAACAAAGCATTTTTTACAGTGTAAGTTGGTCTGCTGGCAATAAATATTCTGTTTTTGTTTTTCTGAATGCAACTTTATTTTGACTCCGTTCCTGAAGTATGAGTATCTTTGGATATGGACTTCGGGATTGGATAGTCATATCTCCTTACAGCACATTGAAGATATTGTTTCATTGTCTTCTTGCTTTCATAGTTTTTGAAGGTAGGTTGGCAGTATTTAGCAGTGCAGTTTCATGTATATAGTGTGTTGTTTTTCTCCGGCTATTTTCAAGATAGTGTCTTGGGTTTTCAGCAGTTTGATTACAATGTGCCTCAGCATCTTGAACGTGTACATTTATCTCTCACCAATTTTGGGAAGTGTGTGGGGCCACTGTTTCTTCAAATATTAGGTTGGCACAAAAGTAATTGTGGGTTTTGTAATGAAAAGTAATTGCAAAACCACGATTACTTTTGCACCAACCTAATATTTTTATGACCCATTCTCTATCACCTTTCCTTCTGGGGAACCAATTACTCATATGTTAAAAGAATTATCCCATAGGAACCTGAGGCTCTGGTTGCTTTTTTTTTAATCCTTTTTAAAAATACAATCTCTGTTCTTCATAGAGAAAATCTATATTGATATTATCAAATTCACTGACTGCTTTGGTCTGCCTGTGTATGTATATTCCAAAGGTCAGCCAGAGATTTGAGCAGAATTTACACCAAAAATTTGTAATGCTCCTTTTCTGGCCCTCTTTTTAATGACATTCCTCCCTTACTTTCCAGTAGCTGGGGTTGCTCCAAACTCTGTCCCCTGGTTCATAAGGCCAGAAAGACTGAGCTTCCTACAGGAGTTTCAGCCACTCTGTGTGGCCCTACCTGTGGCTTGACCTCAGGATAATAGTCATAAGAAATTTAACCTATACTACTTCCAGGTGTCTTCAACCCCCTTCGAGAATCTTGCTGCCTTTGTTCATTCTTCAGATCCCTCAGAGAGTTTTGTTGTTGCTGCTGTTTGTGTTTTGTGAGGGTTTACAGACTACATGGGAAGCAGAAATTGTTCTTTGGGATTTAACTTTTACAAAAATCACAAGCACTCATCTCATTTGTGGCAGTGAAAGTAATATTTACAATGTTAACGTTAAATAACATACCTTGCTACAGGTTTCCAGTAAATATCTTGTATTATGCTGCGTAAGCTCCTCCTATTTCTAGCTCATTAAATAAATATTATTTGCTTGTTGGTCTTATTTAACAGAAAAAAAAGGAGTCTCTATTTATTAATTCATTAGTTTTATTTTCCACAGATTGATTTTGTTACTCTCCTTTAATAATGAAAGTTCTCAGGGCTATTAATTTTCTGCTAAATACAGCTTTAGCCATTTAAAATATTGATACATAGAGTTCTTACTCTCCTAACAGTTTATTATATAGTTTCCTTTCCTGTTTGAATCTGGAGTTTTTAGAAAAAAATTTGGTTTTTGTTATCATTATTTCTCTTTTCCAAGCTACTGATTTTTGCATTTAAACTTTTGCTATTAATGTCTAGCTCTATTTCAGTGTAGGCAGAACATGGAGGCTGTTAACACTTTATATTTCATAATTTAATATGGTTTCTTTGAGATATAATATATGATCAATTTTTTTCTAAATGCTTCATGGCTCCTTAAAAAAGTGTATTGCTTATTTCTAGAGAACAAAATTTAATAAATATTTATTAAATCATCTTTGTTAGATTATTAAAATATTCTATCAATTCTGTGTTTATTTGACCCATGAAAGATCAATAAAAGTGTATTAAAGTGTCATACAACAATTCTACTTCCATCAATTTTTCCTTATATTTCTAACAGCCTTTGTTTCATGTATTTTGAGGCTGTTACCAAGTCAATAAAAATTCAGAACTGCCTTATCTTCATTGTGAAGTCTATCTTAAAGAAAATATAACCTTCTTGATTGCATTTAATATTTTTATAGCCTTTGATTCTATTTCATCTAAATATTGCCAAGATTACTTTTTTTTTTAATTTCGCTTCTGCCTAATAAATCTTGTCCATTCTATTGTTCTTTCTTTTTTAATCTAATGAGTTACTTTGTTTTAGGTATATTTCTTCTCAGTACCCTACAGTTAGATTTTGCTTTTTAGCTGAAATATACAGTTGTTGTATTTTAATAGACTAGTTTAATAAACATTTCACAATGAGATTCAGCTTTACACAATGCTTTCACATTTATATTTCCTCTTTTCAACATATCAGGTACAGGGGAAATGTCATTCCTATGTTATGCATAAGGAAATTCAAAGCCAGATAGGTTAGATGCATTTCCCAAGGTCATTCAGGTAATATATGGCAGTGGCAAGACTTAACCAAAGGATGATAATACTAAGAAAATGGCTTTTTACAAACATATACTATCCCCTTGCTGAACATCAATATTCAGATAGACTATTTGGTCAAATTATGTTTTGTGTTTTTTTTTTTGTTTTTTTTTTTAGACAGAGTTTCGCTCTTACTGCCCCAGCTGGAATGCAATGGTGCAATCTCAGCTCACTGCACCCTTCACCTCCTGGGTTCAAGTGATTCTCCCGCCTCAGCCTCTTGAGTAGCTGGGATTACAGGCACTCACCACAAGGCCAGGCTAATTTTTGTATTTTTAGTAGAGTTGGGGTTTCTCCATATTGGCCAGGCTGGTCTCAAACTCCTGGCCCCAGGTGATCCACCCACCTCAGCCTCCCAAAGTGCTGGGATTACAGGTGTAAGCCCCTGTGTCCGGCCATGGTCAAATTATCTAATTTTTCTTCCACTGGGGGACTTTATACTATTTATTTTTATTGCCGTAAATGATATGTTTGTAACACTGTAATCTTATTTCATGCTTTGTGTAGTTTATGCTTTACTCTTTTTTCTTTGTTTTATATACTATTGGCCCTCCTTGTCTGTGGGTTCCACATCTGTGGATTCAACCAATCATGGATTGAAAATGCTCAGTGATATGGTGTGGCTCTGTGTCCCCACCCAAATCTCATCTTGTAGCTCCCATAATTCCCTTGTGTTGTAGGAGGGACTTGGTGGAAGACAATTGAATCATGGGGGGTGGGTCTTTCTCATGCTGTTCTCCTGATAGTGAATAAGTCTCACAAGATCTGATGGTTTTAAAAACAGGAGTTTCCCTGCACAAGCTCTCTCTTTTTGCCTGCTGCCATCCACATAAGATGTGACTTGCTCCTCCTTGCCTTTCACCTTCTGCCATGATTGTGAGGCCTCCCCAGCCACGTGGAACTGCAAGTCAAATAAACGTCTTTGTTTGTGAATTGCCCAGTCTCAGGTATGTCTTTATCAGCAGCAGTAAAAAGGACTAATACACTCAGGAAAAAAAAATGGCATCTATACTGAATATGTACAGACATTTTATTGTCATTATTCCCTAAACAATACAACTATTTATATAGCATTTACACTGCATTAGGTATTATAAGTAGTCTAGAGATAATTTAAAGTAGTCTGTAGGTTACATGCAAATATTATGCCATTTTATTCCAGGGACTTGAGCATCCACAAATTTTGGTATCTGGAAGCAATCCTTCACAGATACCAAGGGACGACAGTACTTGGTGATTTAGATCAGGCTGCACATTCTTTTCTCTCTCCATTGGTTTGGAAGTCATGCATCCTACTTTTGTTTCTAATAGTGGCACCTGGTATATCAAAAAGAATATTAATATTTGTTGAACGAATACATTTTAAAACTTTCAAATATTTAGAATATTTGAGTCTACCCCTAGAAAAATGAGAATTTGTCACAAATTTATTTCTGGACCTTGTAAATATGATCCTGGGTTTCTTATTGCTTAGTGTTAAATATTAAGGTATTAAATATTTAATGCTTATTAAAGCATTATTTTGTGTGACATATTTTCTCTTTCAAAAGCATAGTTTTACATTTGCATTCAGTATTATAATTAAAGTTACAATCACTTAAATCTCACTTTTTGTTAACTTGGTTTAATTATTAACAACCAGCCACTTCTCTGTTACTGAATTCTTTTGTTGTTGTTGTGGTTGTTATTTAGTTTTTATTTCATAATCATAAACTTAACTCTGCAATCCAGCTAGGCATGGAAGGGAACAAGGAAAACATGGAACCCAAAGGGAACTGCAGTGAAAGCACAAAGATTCTAGGATACTGCGAGCAAATGGGGTGGAGGGGTGCTCCCCTGAGCAACAGAAGAAATGGTCTGGTGGTTAAGATAAAACACAAGTCAAACTTATTAGAGCTGTCCACAGTCAGCAATAGTGACCTTCTTGCTAGTCTTGCCATTCCTGAACACAAAGCGCTCCATGGCCTCCACAATATCCATGCCTTCTTTCACCCTGCCAAAGACCACTTGCTTGCCATCCAACCACTTGGTCTTGGCAGGGCACATGAAAAACTGGGAACCATTTGCGTTGGGTCCAGCATTTGCCATGGACAGGATGCCAGGACCTGTATGCTTCAGGATGAAGTTCTCGTCATCAAATTTCTCCCTGTAGATGGACTTGCTACCAGTGCCATTATGGCATGTGAAGTCACCACCCTGACATACAAACCCTGGAATAATTCTGTGAAAGCAGTAACCCTCATAATCAAATCCTTTTTCTCCAGTGCTCAGAGCATGAAAATTTTCTGCTGTCTTTGGAAGCTTGTCTGCAAACAGCTCGAAGGAGACGCAGCCCAAGGGCTCGCTATTGACAGCAATGTCGAAGAAAACAGTGGGGTTGACCATAGCTGGTAATACGGGGCTCCCAGTGGCAGCACCATCTGTGAAGTCTCTGTTACTGAATTCTTAACTTCAATTTCTCTCTCAGTTACCTGGGCAGTGCTTCCTAAATGTTAGTATGTTTAAGAATCTCCTAGAGAGACTGTTAATGCACAGATTGCTACAGTTCATCCAGAGTCCTAACTGTTCTAAGCAGTAGGTTTTATAGCAATATTTTGTACCATATAGTGTGGCCAAAAAAAAAATATCTGATTTTTTGCTCCTTTATAAGGCTAACTGTTTTGTTTGCCTGTGTGTGTGAAGGATTTTTTTTACTTTATTCTTTAAAAAATTACCAAGTTGAAATGATATAAAACCCTTTTCATTAATGTTGCCTGGAGTACGGAAAGTCCCTTCAATTTTTGTTTTTTGGTATCGGGTTTTGTTTTTGTTTGTTCGTTGTGCTCCGAAGAGCTTTTATTAATCTTTCACTACTATTTGTGTTCTAATTGCTTCTGCCTCAAGAACATCTGTGATTCTTACTTTGGTTCTGGGTGTTCAAATCTATGATCTCTATTTTCTATATTTTTAATCATCTCTTTTGTTATTTTAATTTTTATTGCACCTGTTCATTTCAACAGAAATTATCAATTTTTTTCCCCTCTTGATTTTTTCTTTTTCTTCTTTTTTTTTTTCTTGAGACAGGGTCTCTGTCATCCAGGCTGGAGGGCAATGGCACAGCCACAGCTCACTGTAGCCTCCACCTCCCCAGGCTCAGGTGATCTACCCACCTCAGCCTCCTAAGTAGCTGGGACTGCAGGTGTGTGCCACCACACCTGGCTAATTTTTGCCTTTTTTGAAGTGACAGGTTTACATGTTGCCCAGGCTGGTCTCAAACTCCTGGGCTTGAGCAATCTGCCTGCATTGTCTCCCAAAGTGCTGAGATTACAGGCTTGAGGTACCACACCTGGCCATGAGTGTTTTTTAAATAGTGATTTCTTTTCAGCTTCCAACACAGACTTCAATTGTGTTATGACATTCTGGTCTCTTTACAATATTTTCTTGACTAATCCATCTCCTTTTCCAAATAATCCTACTTTTTACAATCTAAACTTATTCTCTCATTTCACTTTCTGTTTCCTGATGCTGTTGAGGATGACAAAAAATCCCTTCAGATTTCTGTGACATATCATCTTGGGAGGTCAACATTTACTCTGAGTCTCTGAGATACTGTTCCCTTTTCCTTGTCCATAATGATTTCTTTTTACTTTAGTTTATCATGAAAGAGACCGTGTTTGCCAAGAAAAAGATGAAGATTGTCTTTATGTGTCACTTAAACATAAATCTCTTACAGCTAAATGACATGTTGGTTTACAAAACTTATATCCTAATTTCCATCCTCTAGCAGGTTTTCCACCTAGCATACCTGTTGGGATTGGCATAGACTCATCTTGTATCACTACCTGCATCTGTATTATGAAAAACAACAATCCCCAAGGCCCTCGTAGTTTCAGCATAGATATAGTGCTTTAACTGTGACAGATCCTGACAAACATATTTCCAAAAATATTACTGCCCTATTTAGTAAGCAGGATAATGGTCTTCCAAAGGTGTCTACATCCTAGTCCCTAAAATCTGTGAATGTGTTAGATTACATGGCAAAGGAAAATTAAGGTAGCAGATAGAATTAAGTTTGCTAATCGTCTGACCTTAAAACAGGGAGATTATCCTCCAGTACCAGGGTGGGACCAATGTAATCACAAGGGTCATTAAATCTCAAAAACAGAAGTAGAATAGTCAGAGCAATGCAATAGGAAAAAGAGTTGACTGGCCATTGCTGATATTGAAGATGAAAGGGGGCCACAAGCTAAGGAATGCAGGCAGCTTCTGGAAGGTAGGAAGGACAAGGAAACACATTTTCCCTTAGAGACCTCAGAAAGGAATTCAGCCTAACATCTTAGCCCACTAATATCCATCTATTTCAAACTTCTGACCTCCCAAACTGTAAAATAATAAATCTATGTCATTTTGAACCTCAAAGTTTGTGTTAATTTATTACAGCAGCCACAGAAAACTAATATATGACCATTTATTTGAGTAACCACTATTTGCATTCTTCACATGCATATGCAAAAGATGTCTTCATTAAAAGTGATGCTTCACAAAAGTACTTACATGCATAGTAATTCTTGTTCACTTTTCTGATTAGCGTTTGCATGTTTCTGAAGCAGGGGAAAGATAGCAGCCAAATGATTAAAGGTCTTCCCTCTGTTTGGCCACAGCATAAGGGAATCACCTGTTGAAATTGTTCATTCTAGTTCCACCAAACATCTCATTAGTAGAATTCTCTACAAGAATCAAGACTAGCTTGACTATAAAAACAAATTTTTAGTGGCAGCGACTTCTTTTTGGCATATATCTTCTTGAGTATTTTTATAGAAAGTTGAACCAGGTATAATAGAGGCTACTACTCCAATATGAATTTAATTTCATTCATTCTTCAATCCCTTCTTGGATAAGGTGCTGATCCACCTAAGTCACTCCCTCATAAGTGAATGCAAACTTAAGAAATTATACCTTCATAAAATGGGCATATTTTTCTAACTGTAAAAATGTTTTCTTTAAATAGGCATGACTATGGCCTGTCTATTTTAATTTCGTATAGCAGTAATTTCCCTTGGGGAAGGAGTAAAAGACAATATTTTTTAAAGTTTCTCTCTATCTAGATAGGATGCTAGTAGAAGCAAGATTTCTATATGTTCTGATGTGACCAAGTAGATATTTCTCTACTCACCAGCCTCTGAAAATCCCTGTGTTTACCCAAGATTTAACTAAAGAGGCTAAACTCGTGGGTAAATATTAAGAGGGAATTGACAAAGGCATATTAAGTCTAAGGAGTAGACTATACTTTTCTAAAATAAACACATAATTACAGAGTTAACACAGCAGCACCTTCTGCCTTGTCAGTGCTGAAGGCCCCATGGCAGCCAGTACTCTTCACTTGACCTCGTCCTGCAAACTTTCTGTACAGCAGATAAAGGCCCAAAGTACACTATAGTTTAGTGAATAGCATAAACTCATTCATCTGTAAGTACTAGATATTACAACATCAGGCTTCTCACTGGTCCTACTATAAAAATAATTTTATGCTTGCACATTGGACACAATTGTTCTGGTGGCATAGCTCTTTAGCTACACCAGCACTGAATAGAAAGAGGCATCCTCTACTATTAGTCTGCAACAGAACCCAGCATTTCCACCATTGCAAACATCAAACTGGATGAAGACTTTTTATTCCCAGCAGGATTAAGTCAAAACATAGATTGACCTAGGAGAAGAAGCATTAGCCCTTGTCAAATAAGTATAATTACTTGATGACATTGGTTAGTAAAGCTGCAAAGAATACTGAGGAAATTAAACCAGCTAATTTGGGAAAGACCAGAAAGGCAATATGAACACCATAAAAACATGGGTAAGGAACAGTAAGATGCTGACCTTTACTGTTTTCTCTGGGCATGATCCTGCCTGGCAGAGCTATGTTTAGGCTCCTCAGAAAACCCGATGCTCTCTTTGCATTACTAGCCAATGTGAAGCAACATTAAATAAAAAAAAAAAGAAAGGAAAGAAAGAAAGAAAACAATCAGAGAAATGCAAATTAAAACCACAATGAGATATCACCTCACACCAGTTAGAATGGCGATCATTAAAAAGTCAGGAAACAATAGGTGCTGGAGAGGATGTGGAGAAATAGGAACACTTTTACATTGTTGGTGGGACTGTAAACTACTTCAACCATTGTGGAAGTCAGTGTGGCGATTCCTCAAGGATCTAGAACTAGAAATACCATTTAACCCAGCCATCCCATTACTGGGTATATACCCAAAGGATTATAAATATTGCTGCTATAAAGACACATGCACACATATGTTTATTGCGGCACTATTCACAATAGCAAAGACCTGGAACCAACCCAAATGTCCATCAATGATAGACTGGATTAAGAAAATATGGCACATATACACAATGGAATACTATGCAGCCATAAAAAAGGATGACTTCATGTCCTTTGTAGGGACATGGATGAAGCTGGAAACCATCATTCTCAGCAAACTATGGCAAGGACAAAAAACCAAACACCACATGTTCTCACTCACAGGTGGGAACTGAACAATGAAAACACTTGGACACAAGAAGGGGAACATCACACACCGGGGCCTGTTGTGGGGTGTGGGGGTGGGAGGGATAGCATTAGGAGATATACCTAATGTAAATGACGGGTTAATGGGTGCAGCACACCAACATGGCACATGTATACATATGTAACAAACCTGCACGTTGTGCACATGTACCCTAGAACTTAAAGTATAATAATAATAAAAAAAAGAAAACCATTAAAACACTTTAGAAATATATAAAGGTAGGCCGGGTGCTGTGGCTCACTCTTGTAATCCCAGCACTATGGGAAGCCAAGACAGGTGAATCACCTAAGGTCAGGCGTTGGAGACCAGCCTGGCCAAAATGGCAAAAGCCCATCTCTACTAAAAATACAAAAATTTAGCCAGGTGTGGTGGCGGGTACCTGTAATCTCAGCTACTTGGGAGGCTGAAGCAGGAGAATCACTTAAACCCAGGAGGCAAAGGTTGCAGTGAGCCGAGATTGTGCCACTGCACTCCAGCCTGGGCGACAGAGTGAGACTCTGTCTCAGAAACAACAACAAAAAAGAAATATATAAATGTTTTCATTTGTATGAGAACTTATGAAATAGTGATTAAGAGAATGGGCTCCAAAGTCAAACTGTGAGGGTTCAGATGCTGGTCTTCCCCTTGTAGAAATGTTATGTAAATTATTTATGCTTCATTTCCTACATCTGTAAACTGGGGGATAATACTGTTACCTCACTGGCTGCTTTGGGAGGATCAGCTGTGATAATTCATGTAAAGCTTGTAGCAGAGTGCCTAATCCCTAACAAGAGTTCAACATAATTGCTGCTGCTGCTAGGGAGAGGCTGCAAAGCATTCTGGGTAAGAACAGGGACGCTGGGACAAGATTGTAGAGGCTCTGCCATTGACAAGCTGTAATCTTGAGCAACGTATTTAACTTCTTTGTACCTCACTTCCCTCACCTACAAAATGGAAGTAATAATAACCATTATGAGGGTTGTTGTGAGAATTAAAGAGTTAATATTTGTTAGGTGTTTAGACTAGTATCTGATACATGTCTGACAAACTATTCAGCTGTACATGAATGGTTTTAAAGCTGTGATTATGGAAAACCAAGGGCTTTGTACGGAGGAATGGAGATAAGGAGAGTGTGCAGCCCAGTCCCACTCTGTATGCAAACAAAGTAATTCTAGCTCTTTTACATATTTAACTTTCAAGCAAGATTTTCTTTGAGTAAAGGGTAATGCTGCTTTAAAAGAAGAAAGGAAGGAAGGAAGGAAAGAAGGAAGGAAGGAAGGAAACCATGGCTCTATATGTATGAGCCTCATATAAAATATATCAGTACAGGTCTTACAAAACACTGAATGTTTTTATACACATTCCCTAGCAGATTTAACCAGATCAGTTTTAAGGTTCCTTCTAGAAAGGAAGTTCTCCATACGTTGAAAAGTGAATTTCAGTACATTCAAATTTTAAAGACACGACTTCCCATACTTCTTCAGGGTAAACAAAAATCTCAATAATTCTAATTTAACATGCAAAAGCCATGAATATTCACTACAGTCAAATGAATAATAAATCACCCCTGGGTTCAAGTGCTTGCCATGCAAAATTGCCTATTTCCTAGAACATCCAGAAATCTGTTTTTAAATTGCTTTTTATTACTTTTGCTCTTGTGATGGTTGCTCTTCAAAGCAACTTGGAAAAATGTGCCATTCTCAGCATTAAGGCGATAAAGGAGAAGTGAGGACAGCAGAACACGGTGCCATCCACAAAAGGAAAGAGAGTCTGTGGATCAGAGGGCTGGGCTCCGGAAGACAGTTTTTAAATGTCACTAGATAAAATTTATGAGATAAAAGGGAATGTTCCTTAGTCATCCTGAGCATTGATATCTACATGAATAATAAATCAAAAGGCTCTTTATCCATTTACTGGTAAACATTACGACCTTAGGTTGAAGATGTGATTTACTCCACTGATATCAACACAACAGAAATCCAGTGAAAGTATCACTGGACTGGCCCCAAGTTCTGGAAAATCAATGATGCGTGGGAGAACAAACATTTTGAGGGGAAGAGTATTTTTTTAAAAGTAAATATTTGTGGCACTAGCAACATGAGTGCACTCATTAAGATTTCTTTTAAAGGATTACCCTTTAGTCTCTCCTACATGGAAAACTCAAGTATACTCAAGTTGTCAATTGTATAATTTGATGGAAAGTTATCCCTAGTATTTTCCCCCAAATTGGATTGAATTATTAATATTTCACCTTTACAAATACATGCAGTATAATTCAATTTATATAAAATTTAAAATATACAGAACTTACAGTGATTGCAAGTACCTAAGCTGGTAATAAAGGTATCAATTAATGAAGGAAAATGGATATGTCAAAGGACAGGATAGTGACTACCTCTAATATGATCAGAGAGAGGGTTCAGATCAGGGAATTTTCAGAGGACTGCTGGGGATGCTAGAAATACAATGTATTGACTTGGGTGAACCTTGAGATAGGTGTTTATTTATAGTTATTCATTAAACTGTTCATACATGTCATATGCACTTTTCCTGTACAAATTATATTTCACAATTTTATTTAAATAGTATGTTTCATTCTGAGATGACTCTCCAATCTATTACATGAGACACACTTATACTCAAAAAGGTGTTCATTCTTTTTCTCTGAAATTCAGATTTAACTGGGCATCCTGAATTTTATCTGGCAATTGTAAACCAATCAGAATAGCATGGTTAGATTACAAATAATATATATATTTTAAAAGACAGGAAAATAAACCACAGATAAAATGCATTCTTAAAAGTCTTAGTCATTTCATTTCATATTCTATTAATATGATACATTTGTGTTTCATGGTTTCTGACCCCTTGTGTCCAGCGGACTATAAACATAAGTATGCTACCTAGACCCAAACTAATTTACTTAAAGGAAGGCAAAGAAGCTGACCATTATAAATACAGCATGCCTTAGAAAGGAGAGTTTCAAGTCAAAAACAAATCTGGAAAAAAAATTAATTTGCTTCTTTTTTGTAAAGCAATGATGTGTCGTTTTTATGTGCATTTGTTTACACAGTAAAAGAAAAGACAATCAAATAGGTAAAATGGATGCTGTATTGCTCCCTTATACACACAAGGAATTACACATCTGTCTAACAATGCTAACCACTCTGAGCGATAATTATGGATCAATGCTTTAAAAAATATCCTGAATTGCCTGCAGAAATGGCAAGGAGAATACAATTAAATTATTTGTAAAAGCCAGAGTCTTTTTTTCCTATCCATCTGCTACTTGAAATGGGATGACCTTTCAAATAGTGCTTGCTGTTCTCAATGCAAACTCTAAATAAAGAAGTGGAGTGTGGCTTTTTTTTTCCTTTCCAGGTTCAGCATAGATACAGCATTTGTACTGACATTCTACACCACTCCATAAGAATGCAGATTTGGCTTCTAGAACATAAAAGAGGCGTTTCAGGAATATAAATCAGGCTTTTGTCCCATACCTTCAGTCATGACATTTGGCTTCTATCAGAAAGGTGTGCGGCTTCTGAGATAAGTGTTTGAGAACAAGCTACATGAAGTAATTTACTCCCTGGAGAAAAATTGCAAACCTCACCCCCAAACAAACCGCATAAAGTAAATGTGTTAGTGAAGAACCTTTTGTTAAACTACCTATGGCTGGGGAGCTAAATAGAAAAGGTCAGATATTTAAGCTAACAATGGGCTCAAAACAAACCTTCCAACAGGTCTCTCAATAGGCCTACATTATCAACTAACAACTTGCACTATTAAGACTATTAATAGTAATAAGCCATGCTTTCTTCACTGAGTCTATATATATTTTACATTGTTTTATTGCTCCCCTACCCTTTTTAATTTTTAAAGCATTTCCAGTTTGGTCCTTTGTGTGCTTTTTTAAAAATTAGGATTTTGGACAAACTTTCATGTATTTTTCTTAATAAAAGTGTATCAAGCACATTTCAAAAAGTTCAAAAAATACAGAAATATAAAAAATAATCTATTAGCACATCACCCAGAGAAACTGACTTTTAACAGTCTGGTGTTTATACTCCCATTCATCTTAATACATAAGCGTATCACAAAATTAGATGATATTATATAACAATCAAAACTAATCAACTGTTTTATGAACATCTTTCTATGCCATAAGTAACAATCTGTATCATTATACAAAAATTTTCATTACACCTTTTAAATGTTTTATGGGTATCTCTGTGTGTGTATAGTTGTAAAATATAACTTTTAAGTGAATTTATTTAAATACCCAACTACTTATGAGTACATAGATTTACAGCTTTTTCCACTACTGTAAACAAAATTGAAATGAGCATCCATACACACATCTTTGCAGTTATTTCCTTAGTATTACTTTCCAGAAATAGTATAGCTGGACCAGAAAGTATAAACATTATTAGAGCCTTTTGGTTAATATTGTCAATCTGCCTTCCAGAAAGTTTACTAAGCAAGGTAGGTAGATTTCCCTCTACTGTATAATACTGAGAAATATCAATTTTTTGGATACTTGTCAGTGTGAGCAAAAATGTCATTATTGCTCTAATTATTATTGCTTTGATAACTAATGGGGCTGAGAGTTTTACTGGTGTTTTATAACTCTTCCTTTGTGAATCATTATTCAGATACGTTTCAAATGGTAATTTGTAAAGTATTTTGAATTTTGGCCCATTTTTCTATAAGATAAAAGCATTATCGTTAGTGGGTGCAGCGCACCAGCATGGCACATGTATACATATGTAACTAACCTGCACAATGTGCACATGTACCCTAAAACTTAGAGTATAATAAAAAAAAATTAAAAAAAAAAGCATTATCTTAAAGTACAACACCATTAGGATTTAAGATAAATACACACACACACACACACACATACACACATACACACACACAATGAGAAAAATCATTTTAATTTTAAAAACAATACTCAGCATAACAAATTAAACAAAAATGCACACATACGCCAGGTACAGTGGTTCACACCTGTAATCCCAACACTTTGGGAGGCCGAGGCAGGTGGATCATCTGAGGTCATGGAGTTCAAGACCAGCCTGGCCAACCTGGTGAAAAAATACAAAAAAAGTAGCCAGGTGTGGGGTGCATGCCTGTAATCCCAGCTTCTCAGGAGGCTGAAGCAGGAGAATCGCTTGAACCCGGGAGGCAGAGGTTGCCATGAGCCAAGATCACGCCACTGCACTCCAGCCTGGGCAGCAGAGCGAGAGTCTGTCTCAAAAAAAAAAAAAAAATACACAGGTATGTATGTATGTGGTATATAAAATAAGTCAATACGCTATCCCAGCACTATTTCCAATTCCATTTTCCCATGGCAACTAAAAAAAACAAAACAAAAAATAGAAACAATTACTTGTTTATCCTTCTACATCTTTTTCTAGTTTCATACCAGTACATACAAACAGGTTTTGATATAGTCATTCTTTGCTTTCTAATTCCAACGGTCTCATATCGTTCCAATTAGTCAAATGATTAGATGCTGCCATATCATGGACATGCTGGACATCACATATAGATGTATTTAGTTATTATTATTAGTTCCATAATATTTCACAGTATGGTTATAGTATAAATATATTCAACAATCTCACTATTCATGTGCTGTTTTTATGTTAATGTTATTTGTCTTGATTTTTTTTTGCCACTACTAAAAATGCAGCCATCTTTAAATATACATTTTCACATCAGAGATTACTGACTCCCAAAATTAAGGTTGCAGAGTCAAAGAGCAAGTGTACCATTAATTTTGATAAATATATCCAGATTTAGCAATATATGAAACTCTTCCATTTCTAAGCACCTTTAACAAGCATGGATATTATCAATATTTTCCAATTTTGTCAACTACTTGACTGGAAAAGTATTTATTTCATTGTGATTTTAATTTGTATTTCCACAACTACTAGTAAAGTTGAGCAGAGTTGCATGTCTCTTGGTCACTTAAATTTTCCCTCTGTGAATTGCCAATTAATATCCCTAGCCATTTTTCTCAAATATGGTATATAACTGTATGTCATCAGTGTCTAAGAATTCCTATTTTTCTAAAATTTATATTGTTTAATGTACATTCATATATTTAATTCATCTGAATTTTTAGATTTTTATTGTAAAAAATAGTGGTCTAACATTTACAACTTACTGATGAAAAGCCAATTTTCATAGCATCTTTTATTAGATAAACATACATTTCCCAACTGAACTGAAAAGACCCTTTTTTTTTTTTTTTTTTAAGACAGGATCTCCCTTTGTTGTCCAGGCTGGAGTGCAGGGGAGTGACCTCGGCTCACTGCAGCCTCGACTTCCCTGGCTCTGGTGATCCTCCAACCTCAGCCTCCAAAGTAGCTGGGACTACAGGCATGTGCCACTGTAATTGCCCAGTGGGTTCTCCTTGCCTACTGCCTAGACAGAGCCAATTTCTCAAGACGAGGGAACTGCAATAGAGAAAGAGTTTAATTCACGCAGAGCAGGCTGTATGGGAGACGGGAGTTTTATTATTACTCAAATCAGTCTCCCCCCCAAACTCAGGGATCCAAACTTTTAAGAATAATGTGGTGGATAGGGGGTCGGAAAGGGGGGAGTGCTGATTGGTTGGGTGGGATATGAAATCACAGGGAGTCGAAGCTGTCCTCTTTTGCTGAGTCAGTTCCTGGGTGGGGGCCACAAGACCAGATGAGTCAGTTTATCCATCTAGGTGGTGCCAGCTGATCTATGGAGTGTAGGGTCTACAAAATAGCTCAAGTACTGATCTTAGGTTTTCCAATAGTGATGTTTCCCTGTGGAGCGATTTGGGAGGTTTAGAATCTCGCAGCCTCCAGCTGCATGACTCCTAAACCATAATTTCTAATCTTGTAGCTAGTGTGTTAGTCCTATAAAGGCAGTCTAGTCCCCAGACAGGAAGGGGGTTTGTTTTGGGAAAGGGCTGTTATCATCTTTTTTCAAAGTTAAACTATAAACTGAGTTCCTCCCAAAAGTTAGTTCAGCCTACACCCAGGAATGAACAAGGAAAGCTTGGAGGTTAGAAGCAAGATGGAATCAGTAAGGTCAGATCTCTTTCACTGTCATAATTTTCTCAGTTATAATTTTTGCCAAGGTGGTTTCGCCACCATGCCTTGCTAATTTTTTGTATATTTTATACAGACAGGGTTTCGCCATGTTGCCCAGGCTGGTCTCTAACTCCTGGGGCTCAAGCACTCTGCCCATCTTGGCCTCCCAAAATGCTGGGATTATAGGCGTGAGCCACTGCATCCAGCTGAAAAGACACTTTTACTGAATATTAACTTCATATATTTGGATCTGTTTCTCTTTTTTCTGTTTCATTTATAAAATGTTCTCGTGGCTAACAACATACCATTTTAATAACAGTAACTTTATATTACATTTTAATGTTTAGAAGAAAAAGTAAAAATGAAACCTGTTGCCATTCTGATAAATTATATTAACATATCTATTTTATAGGAATGAATGACATTTTATAATAATAAAAACTATTAGGGAATATGAGTATGACTCTTTTGACAGGCAGTTTTATCTCCATAACATTTTTCTTTTTTCTATATAGGCCTTTTTTGTTAAATTGTTACTAAGGATTTTATATTTTTTGTTTCCAAAGTAATTTTTTTCTATTTCTAGATAACTAGTTATTGAAAGTATAAAGAAAAAATTTGATTTTTATATATTTATTTTGTGATCATCCAGCTAACATGTTTTCTTAGTAACTGTGTAACAGTCATAAATTCTCTATGAATATAATCATATCACATGACAGTGAAGAGAGTATCATTTTCTTCGCTTAATTTTTTTGTTTGATTACAACAAGCAGAACCCATAACACAGTGCTAAGTAACAGTGCTAATAGCAAATATTCCTGTGTATTCTTCCTGATTTAATATGAGTGACTTTTATATTTTACTGTTTAATGTAATGTTTGATTATAGGTCTTTATAAATATTCCTTATTGTGTTTAACTTCCTTCCATGCCCATTTTATTTAGAGTATTGCTAGAAATTTCTAATACATTTTATCACATTTCTTATCAGTATGCATACTGAGTTGAATACAGTCCTCCATAATTTATAGTCATGTGGAATCTCAAGTGACTTTATTTTGAAACTGGGTCTTTGCAGATGTAATTTGTTAGATTACAGTAATTAGAGGTCATAAGGGATTAGAGCGGCCCCTACCCAATGACTGTTGCCCTCATAAGAAGCAAAACCAGAGATATAGTCAGACACGCAGAGAGAATACCATGTGATAAAGGAGACAGAGACTGGAGTAATGTGTCTGCATGCCAAGAAATGCCAAGGACTGTTGGCAGCTACTAAAAGGTAGGAAAAGGCAAGGGAGGGCCACCCCTTAGAGCCTTCAAAGGCAGGATGTCCCTGCTGGTACCTTGATTTTGAACCTCTAGCTTTCAAAACTGACAGACAATAAATGTCTGTTATTTTAAGCCACTCATTACCAAATTACCAAACGGTAATTTGTTATGGTGGTTTTAGGAAATTAACAAAGCATATGTTGTATAATCAAATCATTTAATCTTTTAATTAATGGTATAAAGTTCCAATTCAGAACCAGTTTGTAATTTTTGAAATGAAGCCTATTTTAAACATTTTATCATGTTTTCATAAGCAGATAGATACAAGTTGCTATTTTTTAATTATATACTTCCACATATGAAAATGAAATTAGCATAAAATATCTCATTAGTGTTATTTATCTCAAGTTTTGATATAACATTTTGCTAGATTTGTACAGTTGAGCCCCATTCTATTTTCTCTATAGTCTTGAATTGTTTAAGAACCATAGGGAATATCTGTTTTTTAAAGCTTTCGTATGTTACAAGTATCTTTTAATCTTTTAAAGTACCTGTTTTTAAATATCTAGTTTACATGTAAAACTATCTGGGCCTGGTGCCTTTTTTCTAGTGGTACATGTTTAATAATTTTCCACTTTCTTCTATGATTATTGGTATTAAATGTTTTTATTTTGCCTATGGGAATAATATAATACTGAATGTATATATACTTTTCTAAAGAATCATCATTTTCCTAGATTTGAAAGTGAATGGCTATAAAATTTTTTTTTAAAAAAAATCTAGCCGTACCAGTATTGATTGGCAGAGTTGACCAAGGGAAGCTAAGAGGGTACATACCATCTTCCTCCCACACGACTACATATGCATTAAATCAGAAGACGACAGTCTTCCAAGAATAAAATGAATCATCAAGGGAATAAGAGCAGTTCTCATCCCTAGTTAGAATCTCTAAACAAACCAAAGCAAATGTTTTTATTTGAATCATCAGGACTGTGTCACAATGAAACCTAGATGGTTTGTCTTCAAGTCATTTACTACTCCCCTAAAGTCTTATCAAAAGTATGCTAAAAAAGTTTATGACATTTCCACTGAGCTACAATAAAGCTTCTATTTTTTTAGATACTTGACAAAATTTTAAAAAGAATTATTTTTCCCCCACACCTGCACACATTTTAAAATATCTTCAACTTTTCTACAAAACAATTTTCTCTACAGCTCTCCCAGACTTCACAAACATATTCTTTTATTCATAGCAGATGGAGGAAATTAGAGTAACATATTTGCTCTAAAATCATTAGTGCTGCATCAGCACTTCTGATCTAAATGACATTTCAAGGGGTTATTGTTACATAGAGCAAGACTTTGCTCCAGGCAGAAAGAGACAGAAAAACAACTTGAAAAATGAACCTTTTTTTGCAATTAGCTTCTGCATCTTAATTTGTTGAATGCCATTCTATTTGGATTTTAAATACAAATCAAAGGAAGAATAAAGTGATCCAATTCTGTCAGGGTCATACCTTCCTTACTGGTCAGTCGTCTGATTAATCATTATAGCTGCTTCCTAAAAAATAATGTTGTTAAAACTTACCATCAACTACTTGATTCTCTGGAAAACTAACATATTCTTACTTCTCAGAGATATCTTGAGAGGCTGATAAGTCTGCTCTTTAGCCTCAAGAAATGCCTAAAATTAAACTATTTAACTGGTGAGCTTCACATGACTGCCACTCTGTCCAAGAGATAAATAAACATCCCTGGCTGAAGAATGAACCAACCCATAGGTGTTTCTTTAGCACATACTCTGTTAAGTCCACTGTGGAATTAAAAAAAAAAAAAAAAGTTTAAGGTACTACACACCTGGAAAATGCAATCTTGTAAACATAGGAGAAACCACAGAGAATGATACAAGATAGCAACAATCATACTTTATATTTTTACACTGCATTACAATTTTCAAACTACTTTCATGACACTTTTCTTATTTTATCCTCACAGTAAATCCATAATGGAAGCAGGATAAAAGAGGAAGGAGACATAAACATAGAACTTCAGAGATGAAAGCAACATTAAAGGCATCAATAACCTTCTTTACAGATAAGAAAATGGAGACCAAAGGGAAATAAGAACCTTCACCTTGTTTCAGAGTCAGGCAAGCAAAGCTAATGAAGTGAAGGCTTGTCACCCCAAGTTGCAAAAAGAAGTCACAAAAATAAGACAAGAAAGAGAAAGATGATAGAAATACAGGACACTAATTTGGATTTAATGTACTTTTTTAAAAAATAGAAAAGGAAAAGCAATTCTATTGAATTCGGGTTTGAAATTCAACGTTGGTCTCTAGGGATCACTTGGCTATGGTGGTTTTATGCCATTACCAGATCCCTTTGAGAAAAATACTATTTTGAAATTCATGGTTTCCAGTAAATATGTTCAAGGCTTTGAAGAACATACTCCTGTAGGTGTAAATGGTGTATACACATATACACAAAAGCTTGAAAACACTACTTAATTACTGAACGGAGTCTAAACATTCTACAGCTCAGTTAAGAAGCTACACATGCGTCTCACACCCACCATCTCTCCAGCTGTCCTCCACACACCATCCCAGCAAGTCCTAGCTGACCCTCTTAATACTGTGACCTCTCTGTTGTATAATAAAGGTTGAAAATCATCCTTCCTTTGAATAAGAATATATTATAACTATATTATTTTTTGTTACAGCCTTCTCAAAAATGTATTTCAAGCCACACATAGGCCATTGTCATGGCATCTTTTATTTAACAGACAATAGCTATTTTCCATGACTCAGTCCAGAATATTCTTTAACATCTACATCTAGGATATTATCATAATTATAATAAGAGACGGCACTACATGGATGAAGCTGGAAGCCATCATTCTCAGGAAACTAACACAGGAACAGAAAACCAGACAGCGTATGTTCTCACTCATAAGTGGGAATTGAACAATGAGAACACATGGACACAGGGAGGGGAACATCACACATCGGGGCCTGTTGGGGGTTTGGGGGGCAAGGGGAGGGATAGCATTAGGACTAATGCATGCGGGGCTTAAAACCTAGATGACAGGTTGATGGGTGCAGCAAACCACCATGGCACATGTATACCTATGTAACAAACCTGCACGTTCTGCACATGTAACCCAGAACTTTAAGTAAAAAAGAAAAGAAAGGTGCAAAAGTGAAAACATTAAAAGTGGAATCATGATTTTAAAAAATAAATTCACAGTGGTGTTGAAAGATCATATCAGGGTTAGAGGACAAGTCTTTGGGTTAGAATGAACACTTAATTTATTATCAGAGTGAACAATAATTACCTCGACATTTTAAAACAGCATTTTGTCACCTTTTAAACGTTTGGGAACAGAGAAGGCGAAACACCATGTCTGACACACTATGGAAAGTTTTATAATTCTCCTCAAAAAGGAAGAAAAAATATTTCTATTTCCATTCCAGATCTGCACAATATATTCTTGCATCCCATTTGGTCTGATTCATTTACATTTTGCTGAATTCTGTTTTTGTCCATTTTCATCATTCAAAAGATTTTAAAAATTCAACAACATCAAAAAGCCATCAAAAGATGCTTTCAGATGAAATTGCAAAGAAAATAAGCACATGAATTAGTGAAGCAACTTCCAAGTTATACAATTGTGGCACTTACATCTTTTCTCATCTTGTCCGAGAATTAATTGTACTGCTGAAATTAGACATCCAGCCTGCTCCATGCAGACAGGAGCCCAAGCCGGAAGAAAACTCTTTGAATAACAACACTGCCTTCTGATTCTTTTCACATGGCTACATTTTTGACATTTACTTCAATATTCTACCCAGTTGCAGTGTGACTATGACAAAATATTTCTGTAGGCATGACTGGCACCTCTGCGGTAAGTGGCAGGGAATGGAATAGGAAACGAGTCCCTTTAGTAGCTCCAAAAAGCCCACAGGCACTCTGCAAACCTTTTGCATACATGCTGTTAAGTAAAGGATGTGAAAAATGGAAACCGTGATGACAATTTTAATCACCTTACAGATGATTCTATGATCTACTATAACTTTATAATGGCAAAGCCACTGACACAGGAGACTGACAGGCATATATTCTCTCTCTGCCTCTAAGTCTATTAAATGTTTATTTGGGGGGTTTACACATGGATAGAGATGAACTTAACAGAGTATTTATTGAATCTATCCACGGATAAATTATAAATGACTACAACTTTAACTAGGTGGAATTTTCATGGTTATTTTTAATTTCTAGGCCCAAATCACTTCCCTAGGCTCTAGAACTGTCTTCCAGGAGATGTCAGATGTCAGTAATCAGAGGGAACCCATCTACAGTCAATGCAGCCAAAAGTTCTGCCTACAAGGTAGCAATTAGAGTCCAGCAGTCTCTTCTGGAAGTGCCAATTACTGTTCTGTCTTCCCTTTTGAATGCCTCCTTAATATAAGAATAACATATCATTTTTATCCTATCAGATTAGAAAATATTGTTTAAAATAACACTCACAGTTGGCAAGAATGCAGAGAGAGAAGCACTCCCAAACAGATGCTGGTGAGGATGTAAATTGGAATGTCCTTTCTGGAAAACAGTCCAGCAAAATTTATCATGATGTTTTTATCTTCCTGACATTAGTTTGGGTATACTGTTGCATATTTTTAAATAGTCTTCAAAAGCTAGAGTTTTAAAACTCTGTGTGGCATTTTGTTACGTGAATACGCTATAGTTTTCAATTATTTCCACATTTGTCAGCATTTTAGTTGATTTCAACTTGGGGTATTATAAATAATGCTCCAGTGAACATCTTCATAAATACACATTTAACTCACATTCTGTTTATTTCTTAGTATAGATTCAAAGTGAAAATACAGTGGTTGGCAAGGCTTATATTCAAGTATAATTTTATCCTAGTAATTATGGAATTAGTATCAGCAAACGGATTCCTAAGCTAGAATTCACCATCATTTACTAGGAGAAAGATCTGTGGTGGTAAAACAGACTCTGCTTATTTACACAGCCTTACTAATGGGCAATTTGCCAGAGGAATCCAAACCAGAGAGCATGTATGATTGACTAACCATTACATGGAAAGAAGAAATCAGCTCCTACCAAAAGCACATTCATTTCAAGTAATGCCAGCAACCTGCTGAGTCAGTTGTATTCAGCCCCTATAGAAACCCTTCCCAAGTTCATTGATATGTGACACCCATGACATATTTTTACCATCATTGGTTTTCATGAATTTGCCTGTCTTTGAGACCTGAAAAACAATCTGATTTATTGAACTGAAAAAGGCGAATGTAGTGAAACCCTATCCTGTAATTGGCAAACCTTTTACCTCCCTGGTGGCTTGAGTAGAGAAGTTACTGGCTGGAGGCTGTTCTAAAGGAAAACATGAATGGCCCTAAAATTAAAATTCCAGACTTTAGGAGCCAATTAATGAGGACATACCACTTTTAATCCATCACTTTGCAATATATTTAAAATGTTAAGACTCATTGTTGGCAAGGGAACAGTATTCCCCAAAGCTTATTCCATGGGAAAATGTTTTTGTGGACAAAAGAGTTTGGGAAAGAGTGATATTGGAATGAAGTTCAAGCTGAACTTTTAATGTGCTATTACCAACTGTGAATCTCCATGGGGGGCTGTAGCTAGTAACATTTGTAAACTTCTTCAACCACAAATTATTCCTGCTTTATATTGCCTTTGTTTCTGGCAACTGGGTTTCTATAGCGCATTGCAAGGCAGAGCATTCTATGGAACGTACTTTAGAGAATGTTTCTCTAGGTCAGCAGTTCTCAAACATTTTGGTCTCAGGATCCATTTCCACTCCTAAAAACTGTGGAAGGCCCCAAAGAGTTTGTGGTTATGTTGGTTATATCTATGGATATTTACCATGTTAGAAATTAAAACAGAAAACTTTCAAAACACTATGAATTTATTTTAAAATGACAGTAATAACCAATTACATGTAAATATACATATTTTCCCGAAAAAAGAGCTAGTGAGAAGAGTGGCATTGTCTCAACATCACATTAATATTTAGCCTAATAGAAGACAGGTGGATTCTCCTATCTGTTTCTGCATTGTGTTGTGATATATTATTAGGGTTGAAGTGTGCCAAGAAAATCTAGAAGGAATATTTTAATAGCCTTTTCAAATAACTGGATTTTTTCTCTAATACTGCATCAAAACTTAACAAATGGTAGTTTCTTTAAAAGTTACTTGCAGAGTAGAACCCGAAACCACATCAAGAAATTTTTAGTGCTCTGTTATGTGAAAAATCCATGGTCTGTGTAGCATTTTGAATGGATCCTTTCCCCATGTGAAATTTTGTAACAGTGCACATTGCTCTGGACAAAAATAGTGGTTCATTGGATTATGCAGATCTTCCAAATGTTGACACCTTTCATTGCATGATATAAAAAAGAATTATATTTGCAATATCATCATTGACCTTTTATTAGAAAAAGTCTTTAAGTATTGGGAAGCTGTCAAGCTCATGGTGGCATATCCAAGTTTCCCAAAATTTGAATTTTTGCTTAGAAGCTTGAATTTTATCACTATCAACAAATACTGGCCAACGGTTTACTTAAAGCAACAGACTCACTTTGTGCATTTTAAAGAAAATATGTTAAATACTTGAGTTTGCATAATTATAGTTTGTCTTTCAATGCTTCTTTCATGCAGAAAAATAGTGTTCCATATAAAAGGTAGCTGGTTCATTTCACTACCCAGTCTCACAAGTGCTTTTCCTTGAGACAACCATGATATGTCAGTACACAGCAGCAGTTCTTTCTGCATACTTCCCATTTCAGCACACAGAATGCTAAAAAAAAAAAAAAAAAAAAACTCAACAATCAAAATGCAATTAAATTAATAATTTTTACTTTTCAACAAGGATATTCTTAGAAAAAGTTGACTTTTTATTTTTTTTAACCATAGTGCATGGCAGTGAAAAATGAAAGGCCAAAAGTACAGTTCAGTGCCACTGTCTTGATTCATGCTATGGTGCCAGTAGTTTTAAAAAACATTACATTTGGAGGAGCCAAGATGTCCGAAGAGGAACAGCTCCGGTCTACAGCTCCCAGAGTGAGCGACACAGAAGATGGGTGATTTCTGCATTTCCATCTGAGGTACCCGGTTCATCTCACTAGGGAGTGCCAGACAGTGGGCGCAGGAGAGTGGGTGCAGTGCACCGTGCACCAGCTGAAGCAGGGCAAGGCATTGCCTCACTCGGGAAGCGCAAGGGATCAGGGAGTTCCCTTTCCTGCTCAAGGAAAGGGGTGACAGACGGCACCTGGAAAATCGGGCCCCTCCCACCTGAATACCACGCTTTTCCGATGGGCTTAGGAAATGGCGCACCAGGAGATTATATCCCACACCTGGCTCGGAGGGTCCTACACCCACGGAGTCTCACTGATTGCTAGCACAGCAATCTGAGATCAAACTGCAAGGCGGCAGCGAGGCTGGGGAAGGGGCGACCGCCATTGCCCAGGCTCACTTAGGTAAACAAAGCAGCCTGGAAGCTCCAACTGGGTGGAGCCCATCACAGATCAAGGAGGCCTGCCTGCCTCTGTAGGCTCCACCTCTGGGGGCAGGGCACAGACAAACAAAAAGACAGCAGTAACCTCTGCAGACTTAAATGTCCCTGACTGACAGCTTTGAGGAGAGCAGTGGTTCTCCCAGCATGCAGCTGGAGATCTGAGAATGGGCAGACTGCCTCCTCAAGTGGGTCCCTGACCCCTGACCCCCGAGCAGCCTAACAGGGAGGCACCCCCCAGTAGGGGCAGACTGACACCTCACACGGCTGGGTACTTCTCTGAGACAATACTTCCAGAGGAACTATCAGACAGCAGCATTCACAGATCACGAAAATCCATGGTTCTGCAGACACCACTGCTGATACCCACACAAACAGGGTCTGGAGTGGACCTCTAGCAACTCCAACAGACCTGCAGCTGAGGGTCCTGTCTGTTAGAAGGAAAACTAAAAAACAGAAAGGACATCCACACCAAAAACCCATCTGTACATCACCATCATCAAAGACCAAAAGTAGATAAAACCACAAAGATGGGGAAAAAACAAGAGCAAAAAAACTGGAAACTCTAAAAAGCAGAGCGCCTCTCCTCCTCCAAAGGAACGCAGCTCCTCACCAGCAATGGAACAAAGCTGGACAGAGAATGACTTTGACAAGTTGAGAGAAGAAGTCTTCATATGATCCAACCACTCCGAGCTACAGGAGGAAATTCAAACCAAAGGCAAAGAAGTTGAAAACTTTGAAAAAAATTTAGACAAATGTATAACTAGAATAACCAATACAGAGAAGTGCTTAAAGGAGCTGATGGAGTTCAAAGCCAAGGCTCGAGAACTACGTGAAGAATGCAGAGGCCTCAGGAGCCAATGTGATCAACTGGAAGAAAGGGTGTCAGTGATGGAAGATGAAATGAATGAAATGAAGTGAGAAGGGAAGTTTAGAGAAAGAAGAATAAAAAGAAATGAACAAAGCCTCCAAGAAATATGGGACTATGTGAAAAGACCAAATCTGCATGTTTGGTGTACCTGAAGGTGACGGGGAGAATGGAACCAAGTTGGAAAACACTCTGCAGGATATTATCCAGGAGAACTTCCACAATCTAGCAAGGCAGGCCAACATTCAGATTCAGGAAATACAGAGAACGCCACAAAGATACTCCTCAAGAAGAGCAACTCCAAGACACATAATTGTCAGATTCACCAAAGTTGAAATGAAGGAAAAAATGTTAAGGGCAGCCAGACAGAAAGGTCGGGTTACCCACAAAGGGAAGCCCATCAGACTAACAGCTGATCTCTCGGCAGAAATACTACAAGCCAGAAGAGACTGGGGGCCAATATTCAACATTCTTAAAGAAAAGAATTTTCAACCCAGAATTTCATATCCAGCCAAACAAACTAAGCTTCATAAGTGAAGGAGAAATAAAATCCTTTACAGACAAGCAAATGCTGAGAGATTTTGTCACCACCAGGCTGCCCTAAAAGAGCTCCTGAAGGAAGCACTGAACATGGAAAGGAACAACCGGTACCAGCCGCTGCAAAATCATGCCAAAATGTAAAGACCATCGAAACTAGGAAGAAATTGCATCAACTAACAAGCAAAATAACCAGCTAACATCATAATGACAGGATCAAATTCACACATAACAATATTAACTATAAATGTAAATGGACTAAATTATCCAATTAAAAGACACAGACTGGCAAACTGGATAAAGAGTCAAGACCCATCAGTGTGCTGTATTCAGGAAACCCATCTCACATACAGAGACACACATAGGCTCAAAATAAAGGGATGGAGGAAGATCTACCAAGCAAATGGAAAACAAAAAAAGGCAAGGGTTGCAATCCTACTCTCTGATAAAACAGACTTTAAACCAACAAAGATCAAAAGAGACAAAGAAGCCCATTACATAATGGTAAAGGGATCAATTCAACAAGAAGAGCTAACTATCCTAAATATATATGCACCCAATACAGGAGCACCCAGATTCATAAAGCAAGTCCTGAGCGACCTACAAAGAGACTTAGACTCCCACACAATAATAATGGGAGACTTTAACACCCCACTGTCAACATTAGACAGATCAACGAGACAGAAAGTTAACAAGGATACCCAGGAATTGAACTCAGCTCTGCAGCAAGCGGACCTAATAGACATCTACAGAACTCTCCAACTCAAATCAACAGAATATACATTCTTTTCAGCACCACACCACACCTGTTCTAAAATTGACCACATAGTTGGAAGTAAAGCTCTCCTCAACAAACGTAAAAGAAGAGAAATTATAACAAACTGTCTCTCAGACCACAGTGCAATCAAAGTAGAACTCAGGATTAAGAAACTCACTCAAAACCGCTCAACTACATGGAAACTGAACAACCTGTTCCTGAATGACTACTGGGTACATAATGAAATGAAGGCAGAAATAAAGATGTTCTTTGAAACCAACGAGAACAAAGACACAACATACCAGAATCTCTGGGACACATTCAAAGCAGTGTGTAGAGGGAAATTTATAGCACTAAATGCCCACAAGAGAAAGCAGGAAAGATCCAAAATTGACACCCTAACATCACAGTTAAAAGAACTAGAAAAGCAAGAGCAAACACATTCAAAAGCTAGCAGAAGGCAAGAAATAACTAAAATCAGAGCAGAACTGAAGGAAATAGAGACACAAAAAACCCTTCAAAAAATTAATGAATCCAGGAGCTGGTTTTTTGAAAGGATCAACAAAATTGATAGACCGCTAGCAAGACTAATAAAGAAAAAAAGAGAGAAGAATCAAATAGACACAATAAAAAATGATAAAGGGGATATCATCACTGATCCCACAGAAATACAAACTACCATCAGAGAATACTATAAACACCTCTATGCAAATAAACTAGAAAATCTAGAAGAAATGGATAAATTCCTCGACACATACACTCTCCCAAGACTAAACGAAACGAGGAAGAAGTTGAATCTCTGAATAGACCAATAACAGGATCTGAAATTGTGGCAATAATCAATAGCTTACCAACCAAAAAGAGTCCAGGACCAGATGGATTCACAGCCGAATTCTACCAGAGGTACAAGGAGGAACTGGTACCATTCCTTCTGAAACTATTCCAATCAATAGAAAAAGAGGGAATCCTCCCTAACTCATTTTATGAGGCCAGCATCATCCTGATACCAAAGCCTGGCAGAGACACAACCAAAAAAGAGAATTTTAGACCAATATCCTTGATGAACATTGATGCAAAAATCCTCAATAAAATACTGGCAAACTGAATCCAGCAGCACAACAAAAAGCTTATCCACCATGAGCAGGTGGGCTTCATCCCTGGGATGCAAGGCTGGTTCAATATACGCAAATCAATAAATGTAATCCAGCATATAAACAGAACCAAAGACAAAAACCATACGATTATCTCAATAGATGCAGAAAAGGCCTTTGACAAAATTCAACAACCCTTCATGCTAAAAACTCTCAATAAATCAGGTATTGATGGGACATATCTCAAAATAATAAGAGCTATCTATGACAAACCCACAGCAAATATCATACTGAATGGGCAAAAACCGGAAGCATTCCCTTTGAAAACTGGCACAAGACAGGGATGCCCTCTCTCACCACTCCTATTCAACATAGTGTTGGAAGTTCTGGCCAGGGCAATTAGGCAGGAGGAGGAAATAAAGGGTATTCAATTAGGAAAAGAGGAAGTCAAATTGTTCCTGTTTGCAGATGACATGATTGTATATCTAGAAAACCCCATTGCCTCAGCCCAAAATCTCCTTAAGCTGATAAGCAACTTCAGCAAAGTCTCAGGATACAAAATCAATGTACAAAAATCACAAGCATTCTTATACACCAATGACAGACAAACAGAGAGCCAAATCATGAGTGAACTCCCATTCACAACTGCTTCAAAGAGAAGAAAATACCTAGGAATCCAACTTACAAGGGACGTGAAGGACCTCTTCAAGGAGAACTACAAACCACTGCTCAATGAAATAAAAGAGGATACAAACAAATGGAAGAACATTCCATGCTCATGAGTAGGAAGAATCAATAGCATGAAAATGGCCATACTGCCCAAGGTAATTTATAGATTCAATGTCATCCCCATCAAGCTACCAATGTCTTTCTTCACGGAATTGGAAAAAACTACTTTAAAGTTCATATGGAACCAAAAAAGAGCCCGCATCGCCAAGTCAATCCTAAGCCAAAAGAACAAAGTTGGAGGCATCATGCTACCTGACTTCAAACTATACTACAAGGCTACAGTAACCAAAACAGCATGGTACTGGTACCAAAACAGAGATATAGATCAATGGAACAGAACAGAGCCCTCAGAAATAATGCCGCATATCTACAACTATCTGATCTTTGACAAACCTGACAAAAACAAGCAATGGGGAAAGGATTCCCTATTTAATAAATGGTGCTGGGAAAACTGGCTAGCCATAGGTAGAAAGCTGAAACTGGATCCCTTTCTTACACCTTATACAAAAATCAATTCAAGATGGATTAAAGACTTAAACATTAGACCTAAAACCATACCATATGAGGCACTATTCGCAATAGCAAAGACTTGGAACCAACCAAAATGTCCAACAATGATAGACTGGATTAAGAAATTGTGGCACATATACACCATGGAATACCATGCAGCCGTAAAAAAATGATGAGTTCATGTCCTTTGTAGGGACATGGATGAAATTGGAAATCATCATTCTCAGTAAACTATCACAAGGACAAAAAACCAAACACCACGTGTTCTCACTCATAGATGGGAATTGAACAATGAGAACACATGGACGCAGGAAGGGGAACATCACACTCTGGGGACTGTTGTGGGGTGGGGGGAGGGGGGAGGGGTAGCCTTAGGAGATATACCTAATGCTAAATGATGAGTTAATGGGTGCAGCACACCAGCATGGCACATGTATACATATGTAACTAACCTGCACATTGTGCTCATGTACCCTAAAACTTAAAGTATAATAATAATAAAAAACAAAACAAAACATTACATTTGCATCATTAATGAAAATATTAACATAGTGAAAAAGAAAAAGAGCAACTTAGTATTACAGTAATATAGTTTCGACCTTGCAGACTCCCTGGAAGGATCTCAGGGATCACCAGGAGTCTGTGAAGCACCCTTTGAGCATTGTGGTTCTAGATTCAAAATGTGGCCTTGGCTGAGCACGGTGGCTCATGCCTGTAATCCCAGCACTTCGGGAGGCCAAGGCAGGCGGATCACCTGAGGTCAGGAGTTCGAGACCAACATTGCAAAACCCTGTCTTTACTAAAAATACAAACAAATTAGCCAGGTGTGGTGGTGCATGCCTGTAATCCCAGCTACTCGGGAGGCTGAGGCAGGAGAATCACTTGAACCCAGGAGGCAGAGTTTGCAGTTTAGCTGAGATCACACCGCTACACTCCAGCCTGGGCAACAGAGTAAGACTGTCTCAATAAAACTTACACACACACACTCACACACACACACATGCAAAAAACCCTTAGTTTAAAACACAAACACATCGTACAGCTGCACAAAAATATTTTCTTTCTTTATATCCTTTTTCTATAAGCTTTTTTATATTTTTAAATATTTGTATTATTTTTTTAAACTTTTTTTTGTTAAAAACTAAGAAAAACACAAACATTAGGTTAAGCCTACACCCGGATGGTATCATCAATATCACTGCCTCCCACCTCCACATCTCATCCAACTGGCAGGTCTTCAGGGGCAGTAACAGGCATGAAGTTCTTACCTCCAATGAAAACAATGCCTTCTTCTGAATACCTCCTGGAGTTCTTGCCTGAGACTGTTTTATAGTTAACTGTTCTTTAATAAGTAGAAGTACATGCTAAAATAATGATAAAAAGCACAGTAGATAGTTCATAAACCAGTAACAGTCATTTGTTATCATTATCAAGTATTATGTACTGTATGTAATTGTATGTGCTATACAGCTGGCAGCACAGTAGATTTGTTTACACCAGCATCACCACAAGCACGTGAGTAATTCGTGACGCTATGATATTAGCACACTACAATGTCACTAGGCAATAGGAACTTTTTAGCTCCATTATAATCTTAAGGGACCACCCTCATATCTGCAGTCTGTCATTGACCAGACCATTGTTAAGTGGCACATGACTGTATATACAATGGAATACTATTCAGCATTTAGAAAGAAGGAAATCTTGCCATCTGCAACACGAATGAACCTGGGGAATGTTATGCTAAGTTAAATAAGCCAAACATAGAAAGACAAATACTGCATGATCTCACTTATATGTAGAATCTAAAAAAGTTAAATTCATAGAAGCAGGTAGTAGAAGGTTGGTTGCCAGGGGCTGTGGTGTGGGAGAGGAAAAAAATGGGGAGGTGTTGGTCAAAGGGTACAAAGTTTGAGTTAAGCAAGATAAGTAAGTTTTGGAGATCTATTATACAGCATAATAACTATAGTTAATAATAATTTATACTTGAAAATTGGTAAGAGGTTAGATCTTAAATTGCTAAGAGAGTAGCATTTAAGATCTACTCTCACCACAAAAATTTATGAGATGATGGATATGTTAATTAGCTTGATTTCATCATTTAGCAATGTATACATATATCAAAACATCACTTTTTACCCTGTAAATATACACAAGTTTTATTTGTCAACTATACCTTAATAAAGGTGGGGTGAAAATGCATATTCCTGAAACCCATCATGGGCCTACTCAAACAGAGTATCTGAGGAGGAGGCAGGGCTACCCGAGCAGCAGCGCAGGTTGTACACTGCACACCTTGCACAAAGGTATACAGTTAGCGAAGATTTGAGCTTGAAGTTTGCCTTTTAAAGAAATTGCATATGTGAATCTTGGTTATAGTAGAACTTTAAGTGTTCTAGAGCAGTTGTTCTTCAACTTTATGTGCATCAGAATTACCTGTCTTGGGGTTGAAAACACAAATTTCTTTGTGCCATGCTTGAACTACCTAATTAGAAACCTGAGCATCTGTATTTTCAAGGAACTACTTAGCCAACTCTGCCACCTACCAAAATGTGACAGCCATTTTTCTAGACTAAAAATGGTATAGCTGTCTACAAGAAATCAACTCAACAAAAGCTGAAGACAACACACACACGGCTTAGGATACTCAGGCATCATTTGGACAGAGTCTATTCAACAGCTATAAATTTGTTGTTTAAAATAGCCAATGTTTTTTAAAATGCAACTTTCCATAGTTTTCTGTTGTTATATTTGTTTTCATTCTGTCAGTATGGTATTGGATCTCAACCTTGTATGTTATTTCACCAACATCTTGAAATTTATTTAGCCATATTTTCATGGTTTTATATGAATGCTTACTAAACATAGTCTGATTTTTTAAAAGGTTTTATCTTATGCAAGATTCTTCAAGAGAAAAGACAAACTTAGTTTACTGTCAAATTACCAAACTGACTCAGATTTTTAAAAACCATTCGAAGTTTCATGTTATGCACTTAACATAAAAAAATGACTCAATGTAAATGTCATGTCTCGTAATGATCCTATTCCTGGGATCTTTCACATGAAACAGAGTGGGCAGGAACATTCTATGGCTGCCAAAATGGAATTAAACACATGGAAACAAAGAAACAAAAGCACAACTCACCCCTTCCAGACAACAGGAAAACATGTAGATAAATCAGTGATTTTCCTTCCAGCTAACCAATGAAGTAGAGACATGTATTTTAACAATTGTAAGGGCACTGGGCTTAAGGAAAGGCAAAGTAAAAACTAGGTTATAATGTTCTTCTAGATGCGAAAATGCCAAATCTGCCAGTCACTCATGAAAAGAACACAGCCCCAGGCAACTGATATTGATACATTCAAAGATTATAGTTATGTATGATTACAGAATAGCATTTCATAAACTCTATCAGACAGAACAACTCTTTAATGGAATGTTAAGAGTTGGGAGAGAGAGAAAAGTTGGTCATTCTAAGGTCCAATTAATTTGAAAACTCATGAGTTATATAGAATTAAACAAATTTTTTTGACTGTGGAACTTCTCAGAGCCCTTCTGTACTAATGTGCATTACACCTCTCCAAGAAGAAAAAAGCATGCAGCATTTTTCAAACTTTTGATACTTTGATGCTTTTTTATTTAGCTTCTGACTGGGCTAGAGTTCTCTGGGACACACCCAGGGAAATATTGATACAGACAGGTCAAACAATTAAGGCAAATGCTCAGGCATATACCTGAACTGTGGTAGAACAATCTAGATGCCACAGAAATGGTGAAGGCATGCCCAACAGCCAGCCCCACTATATCAAGTCCCTTAGCCTCTCTCCATTGGCCTTAGCTCTGAAAGAAAGATGATGCTTATTAGTAAAGTGCCTTGGGATGGTTGGGCAAGAAACACTAAATAAGAACAAATTATTACCCTCATTACAGGGTAGATGATCTAATAAACCATCTCTATTACTTACAAAGTTTGGAGGCCTGCTATTTTTTTCCTTTTAACTACACTCCAATTTGACCTTAAAAATCTATGCTAAAAATAACTTATAGGAAATATCCCAAAACCATACCATAAACTTTCTTATCGGACCTCTGTCTGTTTGCACATTCTCAATGACTGCCAATCACCTACAGGTAAATGCAAATTTCTTAGCCTGCTGTATAACTCTCCATCTTTCAGGAGCTGTAGAGTTTATGATTAAGATCATGGTCTTTGTAGGGAGACAGACAAGGTTCACATGCAGGCTCCACTCTACTACATCTGAAGTTATTTCTCTTCTCTAAGCCCTAGATTATCAAAGTATGGTCCATGAACTGGCAGCGTCAGCAGCATTTGGGGCTTCCTAGAAGGGCAGAAATTCAGGCTCCATTGAAAACCTACTGAATCAGAATCTACATTTCAACAAGAGCCTCACACTGTAGTTTGAGAAGAACTACACAAATTCTCATACGCTTTGACCAGCTCCTCTGCAAATTGGAGGTAATAATAGTAAACTTGGAGATGGCATTCATCGTCTACTCCTTTGAATCCATCCTCAAGTCCTAAGGTCCACGCAAATATCCTTACCTGTCTCTTTCCCTTCATTACCTTAGTCCAAGCTGTTCTCATTTCTCTCCAGATCTCCTGCAATGGCCACTCAACTCATTACAATGCATCTCCTCTTGCTTCCTTCTATTCTGTTTCACTTACTGCAACCAGAGAGATCTCCCAGGAAAAGCAAATGTGATCAGAGCTTCCATGAGCTCTCAAAATAAAGGCCAAAAGCCTTTCACAGAACTACAACCTCTGTTGAGGGGGTCGCTTCCCACCTCTATATCTTATCTTGCATGATGCTCCACCTGGTTTCCTCTGCTCCAGAAGCACTGGTAAATTCTTTTTTCCACTCCTTGAACTAGCCATCCTCCTTCCCGATACAGAATATTTGCAAAACCATCCTCCTGGTCATCAGTGCCTTCCCCTCAACTCTTTACCTGGTTAACTCCTTCTCAATCTTTAGATGTCAGCTCAAATGTCATCTCCCCTGAAAGCTTTCCCTGAACCTCCTACCCAGCAGCCAAACACACTGCCTGACCTGTTGCCTGTGCCCCATAAATATTTGTTGAATAAATGAAGGAATTAATGAATGTTCATTCATATGGTTATTGTGACAATCAAATGGATTGAAACCTGTAAATCATTTAGCACAGTGCCTGGTAGAGAGCAAGAGCTTACTTAATGCAGTACCAATGGTAATATATTTTGAATATTAGTCTTGCTAAAAACTAGACCCCAAGCAGTACTTAACAGGGGCTAACAATTAGAATCACCTGGGAAATGTTACACTTCTCAATGTCCAGGCTCTGCTGCAGACCAATTAAGTCAGAATCTCTAGGTGGTGGGACCCATGCACCTGAGGATTTTAAAACTCTACAGGAGATTCTAACGTACAGCCAAAGTGTGACTGCTTTACTCGTTGTCTCACTGTGGTCTCCCAGCCTTCCAGAGAATAGCATACTGGGCGTCAAGAAGAGTCCTCATTAATCATGGCATGAGTCTGTGGCCCACAGAAAGGGGCAGTAATATGAATACATGTAGTAAAAATCTAGCAATTCATTTCCCCTGGCTCCTTGACAGCAGCCAGATGGTGGAAACTCTCCATCTATTACCCAAGCCAGAAGAAAACCTTTCTGGGAAAATCCAAGTTGCCTGAACTACTGTTGGGAGGAAGTATGGTAACACGTGAAGATGACTCTGGTCCTTTGGGTTAAGTGATGACTTAACAAAATTCATCAGGATTCCATTATAAATCTGTCATAATTGTTTTGTTGAAGCAATTGCTTTGTGGGAGCAATTAATTCCTACTGCTAAAAAAAAAGGTGAGAACTCCTGAGTGTTCCATCAGGCACCAAGAAATAGGTGAGCCGGGAAGCATTTGCCCTTACCTTCTGTCTTCTTCACTACTCAAGTATTTGGAGTGTCAAGAGACCACACTGTACTTCAAAGGCCTCCTCTTCCAAATAACCAACCTTCTGCTATGTAAAAACATGATTAAGAACACACATATTTGTACTGTATGTCTCACTCATTTTGAACTTTTCAAAATGTGATATTGCCAAAGAAGCTTTATCTCTTTTAAGGGTTTCACACACACACACATACACTGCCTTGGTTTGAAAAACAACATAGAATGCAGGCCTCATACAATTTGAGAACCATTTACAATTATAACCTACCAAGTCAGAGCTGATACCAAGCCAACACAAAGGCCTCAGAATTGTTATAAAAGGAACAGAATTGCTCTCTGGAAATAATATCCCAGTGGGCTAAATTCCCCCTCCCCCTGTTCCTCCAAGGTGGTAAATTGCAACAACAACAAAAAAGCATGATTCATGAATATAAATTTTTCTTGGCTTTTAAAATCATACACTGGCATAGTCCTCCCCGAACTTCAGCCAAATGAGAATACACAGATAATGACAATTTTACAATAAGTGGTTCCAGGACACAGGCTTTTCAAGATCCACAAATGAAAGGCACTATAAAAAAGAGTATTATTATTATTATTATTTCAAGCACCCAGAAAAACCACAATCAATGATTAGCCATAACAATTAAACTAACAATAGTACATCTGGAATCAGCTCCATGGTAATATGTACTTCATGCTTAATAGTTCAAATTAATTCAATCTGATGGTGTTAGACATACCAGTTAGGAGCTGGAGAGCACCAAAATTCACATTAGCTTCCACTTCAAAAGATATTATGAAAAGAGAAGGAAGGAAATGAGGCTATAAACAGCAGTGGTAAATACGAAAGGCTCAGAGATGATATGGTCAGGAATAACTCTCAGCTATTAGGAATTCAGTGATGAAAATATGAAGGCTGATATTTCTATCCTTGCACATTCCTCCAGAGTCAATGACTGAGCCACCCATCTGAGCGACAGAACTGAAACCCTAAAATCAGGGCAATTATATTCAAAGAAGAGGGGGCCTTCTTCATTCTGCTTACAGCATCCTTTACTAGTAGCCCATTTATATTGCAGAATGCATGGAGAATTTCTCATTTTCAGGTTATAGACTTCAAGTAATAAGAAAAGAGAGCAGGAGTTGGGGCAGGCATAAAAGGTGAGGTAGTTATTGCCTGATTACCTTATTTGTCTCACTCCTCCTTGAAGATTCACTAGATAACTGTCTTAAGCTGCACTATAAATATTCTCTAAGGCAGGATTTCTCAACCTTGGCACTGTAGACACTTTGGCCTAGGTCATTCTTTGCTGTGAAGTGCTATCCTGTGCACTGTAGGATGTTTAGAAACATCCCTAGTCTCCACCTTGTAGATGCTAGTAGCATCCCCCACCCCCAGTTGTGACAACAAAATGTCTTCAGACATGGCCGTATGTCCTCTTGGGGGAAAAATCATACTGGTTGAAAACTGTTACCTTAAATCTTTTTTTTTTTTTTTTTTTTTTTTAGATGGAGTCTTGCTCTGTTGACCAGGCTGGAATGCAGTGGAATGCAGTGGCGCGATCTCGGCTCATTGCCACCTCTGCTTCCAGGATTCAAATGATTCTCCTGCCTCAGCCTCCCAAGTAACTGAGATTACAGGCAGGAGCCGCCACATCCAGCGAATTTTTTGTAGTTTTAGTAGAGACTGGGTTTCACCACATTGGCGCTGGTCTCGAACTCCTGACCTCAAGTGATTTGCCCGCCTCGGCCTCCCAAAGTGCTGGGATTACAGGCATGAACCACCGTTCCTGGCCTACTTTAAGTCTTAATTCACTTGTTTCTGGGCATCGGGAGGAAAATCCAGAGGGCAGACTCCCCTCTAGACTCTTCTTCCTCAGAGATGAGCATGGATTGTATTGCCAGCTGTGTGCAAGGCAGCACTCTTCCCACGGCATGCTGAATCCTCCTCCTAACACCTTTTGCACATATAGGCTTGTTGCATATAATACAGAAATTTGGAACCTGGCAGTCTTCTATTCATTGTGCAGAAAAGAGTTAACACAGAGCAGGCTCGAGAAGGCCTATCCTTAGAAGGCCTGTTTGCAATGTTGGCCTTTGGTTAGCAGCTGGGAATTGGAGCTGGTAAACAGTTCCCTACACTAATATGACATTTTTCCTAAATTATAGAGTGGCCACTATGCCTCACCTGTTTGTACAAACAGTGTGGTTTATGCTGAACACCTGCTTTCCTTCTGGGAGTCTGGAATTTGGGTATGTGCTAGGCAGATCAGCTCCCAGCAGTAGCCTTGGGCACTGAGTCTCTAATGAGTGCCCTAGTAGGCAACACTTCAAACTTGTTGTCGCAGCTTGTTGCTTAAGGAACTAAGAGCATCCTGTGTGACTGCATTGGAAGAGGACTCTTGGACGCTTACTCCTGATTTCTCCAGACTGCACACCATGCACCTTTTCCCTATGTTGATTTTACTTTGTGTTCTTTCACTGTAGCAAATCAGAACCAGAAGATAACAATGCTGAGTCCTAGGAGTCCTCCTAGAGATTTACAGAACCTTGCAAGTGGTCTTGGGGACCACCAATGCAGGGACTCATTCAGCATTCTATTTGTGTGCCTCTATTTCTAGATACAGCAAAGACTTAAACTCCAAGTCCTCACAGAATTTATGTGGTAGCAGCGAGCAAAGCATTAATTCTAGCATATTTCAAGCTTCTTTCATAGAAAACAAGCCCTGTGGCATCTCTTTTTTGTTTTTATAACAGCTTTTTAGAGATATAATTCACATATCATACTGTTAATCAATCTAATGTGTACAATTCAAGATTTATATTCATAGAGTCGTGCAACCACGACCACAATCAATTTTAGGACATTTTCATCACCCCACAAAGAAACCCTATATCCATTTACAGTCACTACCCATTTTCTCCCAACCACCCAGCTAGGCAACCACTAGAGTTTCTGCCGCTATGGATTTACCTATTTTTGACACTTCACAATTGGTCATATGATATGTGGTCTTTTGTGAGTGGCTTCTTTCACTTACCAAAATGTTTTCAAGGTTCCTCCATGATGTAACATGTATCAGCACTACATTTATTTTTATTGCTGAATAATATTTCATTGCATGGATATACCACATTTCATTTATCCATTCATCAGTAAATGGAACTTTGTATTGTTTCTACTTTTTGGCTACTATGAATAGTGCTACTATGAACATTTGCATACAATTTTTTTATGCACATATGATTTCATTCCCCTTGAATAGCTACCTAAGTGTGGAATTTCTGGGTCATACATATGTTTAACTTTTAGGACATTTTCAAACTGTTTTCCAAAGTAGCTGCACCATTTACTTACCAATGGCAGTGTAACAGAGTTCTAATTTCTCCACATCCTTGCTAATAGTTACTATTAACTGTCTGTTTTTTTTTTTTGTTTTTTTTTTTTTTGAGACAGCCTGTCACCCAGGCTGGAGTGCAGTGATGCAATCTTGACTCACTGCAACCACCACCTCCCAGGTTCAAGCAGTTCTGCTGCCTTAGCCTCATGAGTAGCTGGGATTACAGGCACGCCCCACCATGCCTGGCTAATTTTTGTCATTTTAGTTGAGATGGGGTTTCACCATGTTGGCCAGGCTGGTCTCAAACTCCTGGCCTCAAGTGATCTTCCCGCCTCAGCCTCCCAAAGTGCTGGGATTACAGGCATGAGCCAACGCGCCCAAACTTATCTGTCTTTTTGCTAATAACCGTCTTAGTGGGTGTGATGTGGTATCTCGTAATGGTTTTGATTTGCACTTCCCTGATGGCTAATGATGTTGAGCATCTTTTCATGGGCTTATTAGCCATTTGCATATCTTCTTTGGAGAAATGTCTATTCAGACCTATTTGCCCCATTTTAACTGGGCTATTTGTCTTTTTATTATTGATTTGTAAGAATTCTTTTTATATTCATATTCTATCTCCAAGTTTCTTATCAGATATATGATTTGCAAAACACTTCTTCCATTTTGTGGGTTAGTTTTATTATTTCAATCATGTCCTTTAAAGCATAAAAGTTTTAATTTTTAGGATGTCCAATTTATCCATTTTTTTCTTGCATTACTGTGCTTTTGGCACCGTAGCTAAGAAACCATTGCCTAACACAAGGTCATGAAGATTTATCCCTATGGTTTTGTCTAATAATGTTATAGTTTTAGCTTTTCCATTTAGGACTTTGATACTTTAAGGTAATTTTTGTATACAGTGTGAGGTAGGGGGTCCAACTTTATTCTTTTGTGTGTGGATATCCAGTTGTCTATGGCATCTTTTGCATCACTCCAAGACATAGTTTCAGGTAATTTTTGTCTATACAAATTAAGGTAACAGGTACCAAAACACAGAACCTATGTATGTGACAAACTGCCTGAAAGCCTTTATAAAAACTTTTGCAATTGGTGTTCTTTTTTTCTATTTTCAGAATATGCTCAGTATTTTGCTATATCAGGAAGCAGTACCACCATTATTACCACTGGTGCTACTGCTGCTAATAATAATAGTAACTAGCAGATATTTTGTACTTAGTATGTGCCAGACACTACACTTGCATTTAACATTCATTAACTTTTAAGCACTACACATGCTTTAACTTACATGATCTTCCTGCCAACACCACGAGATAGGTAGAATCATTATCTTCATTTTACAGATGATGATATTAAGGCTCACTGATGTAAAAAAATTTTCCTTAGGTCATAGAACAAGCAGGAAAACCGATTTAAAAAAATTGAGGGAAGGAATGGCACTGGAAAGTGGAGGTCAAGTAATGTCGGATAGCAAATTCTAACAAACAGTAGCTAAGCACGTATGCGAAATATACAAAAATAAACAAGCCAAAATCTAGCACTGGTAGATGACATTCCCAGTTCTGATCAAGTTGCTGACAACAAAGGATTGGTCTCCCCTTCTAACTCAACAAAGGGTAGGAAATCTTATCACTCAAGATATCAATCAAGATTTATTTGATCGCTGAAAGGGTTTTGTCAACACTCCAAAAATTGTATTAGTGACTAGATGATTGATGGAATAAGTCAATTAGAACCAGATTAGAAATCGAGATATGAAGTCAATTACTTCCAATCTGAAAATTAGGAATCATTAAACAATAATATAATAGATGGCATCAATTTTCAAAACTACCCTTCGTGTGTTTGTCTATAGGGCAAAATTCAAGTAAAAAATAACTTTGAAAAGACTAAAACTATAGAGCAACTTGATCTTGGGAGTGTTTTCCCAGATGGGTAGTGGGCTGAGTCTGGTCAGTTTTCAGTGGAGAAAATGTAGACGAGATAAGCAGTTGATGTTCCCAAATTCAAATAACTTTATGGCAGAAAAGTCAGTCAAGTTTAATTCTCTTTCCCTATACTAGCTGTGTCCTTAATGATAAATACAATAATAATAGCTGACATGTATTGAGTCTTACATTATATAGCTCTCTAGGTACCTAAAAGATGACAACTAATTTATTTAAACCAAGGCATATGAAGTAAGTACTATTATTATTCCCATTTTATATAAGAGGAAAAGGATGTGTAAAGTGCTAATTGACCTGCTTAAGAGGTAGAGTGAGACCTTGAACCCTGTAGTCTATGTTTGTCCTCCTAATAGTGTCTCTATATGGTTTCAGAATAGAAGCAAATAGACACATAAGGGTTAAGCATGGCTAACCTAACTCCAAGTTGAGTCTTTTTACACTAGGCAATGCTGTCTTCAATATATTTATAATAACTTTATACACCAAATAACATTTTGAAGTTTATTTCCTCCCAATACAGAAACATCACTGCATTTCCACTGGGATTTTCAGTACTGTCTGTTGTGGAACTGATCTGGGCTTAGTGAGTATTGCTTTATCATTCTTAAATAAAAACCATTATAGAGAATGCAGAAAACAATTTCCCTTTCAGTTTGCCCACTTCTACCCATACCGAGAAAGACGGATCCTTAAAGCTCAGAATGTAATAAAAGCTCACAATATAATAAAAGCTCAGTATCAGAAATGTTCCAAGTCCCTCCACTCTTTCTCTATAGTTAGGAAACTAAAATTTAATATAGGGCACAACGCTCCAGAGAATTCAGTGTATCGAAATGTTAATACACTTTTATATATTTTAACTGAGATAAACAAGAAAGAGATAGGGAAGCCAGAGCAGCTATGGCAAAGACATAATTATGATAAGACTAATCCAGCTAACAGCAATAGAAGCAGATAGTGACTCCACTGTGATGCTGTGGTAGAGTTTGTATGGTCAGAAAACTATATCAGTATACAATGTTAATGACGCAGGAGCCCCATTATAGGAAAGCAAAGATAACTTACTATGTGACTCTATAAAGTAAAGTTCATCCAAAAGATCAAAGAGCATTTGTCCTATTACTAAAATATTATCCAAATGTATTTTATCAATTAAAACTTGGATAAAATCATTTGCTTCATTGAACAGTAATTTAAAAGGAGCATAGGCTGGGCACTGTGGCTCACGCCTGTGATCCCAGCACTTTCGGAGGCCGAGGCGGGCGGATCACAAGGTCAGGAGATAGAGACCATCCTGGCTAACATGGTGAAACCCCATCTCTACTAAAAAATACAAAAAATTAGCTGGGCATGGTGGCGGGTGCCTGCGGTCCCAGCTAATCGGGAGGCTGAGGCAGGAGAATGGCGTGAACCCGGGAGGCAGAGCTTGCAGTGAGCCGAGATCACGCCACCGCACTCCAGCCTGGGCGACAGGGCGAGACTCCGTCTCAAAAATAAATAAATAAAATAAAAGGAGCATAGTATGTCCATAACCAAATAGGAAGGAAAATGCCTATTTTGATTTTCATAACAGAGCTTAAACATTGTGGCAAAACTTTAAAATGCAGGACATAATGTAAAAATTCTTCTACCAGCTCTAAATTCGTGGTTGTGCTATCAACTATGTCACATTTCTCAGTGTTGACCACAAAAATACCATGAGATACATACACATTGCTGAAATACACTATTTCTCAAACTCAACTTTATCTTCTACTCCAATAACCCTGTCAAAAGGAAAACTAGTCTGGTTACTTCATTTCTGGCAGATCCACATTAACTCCTTTCTTTTAATGCTCATTAATCTTTCTGTTAACAATACTTCTGACCCTCAATACCCACCCTTTCAGACAGGTCAAAACTAAATTCTTCAGTTTACCATTTAAGCCTTTCCTTCAAGTTTTTGCAGGTAAAATGAGATAAAAACAGACGTTTGTATTCCAGCCAGATTGAAATTTTCTACTACCCTCTTTGCTCTTCCCATTAAATTCTACCTCGCAGTTTGTTTGTTTTTGTTTTATTTTGTTTTGCGTCGTTTTTTTAAAAAAAATTGTTTATTGTTTATTTACTAAATCTGGGGCATATTAGATACTTGACCAATTTAAAATTTACATCTTTTAAATCAATTTTGAAGTGTTTTCACACACACATACACACACACACACACACACACACACAATTGGCATGCAACAGTTGTCCTAAGGTGAAACAATCACCTCATCAACAAAGTGTCATAGGTGTTCTCACCCAAGGTTGCTTATCCTAAACCTGAAAACCTGTAACAAATTTAAATTACTTATATAAAACTCATTACTTGTAGTTTTCCCCTTGCAAAGATCTCCAGAAATGTACAAATAACTAATATACATCAGTCACAACATAATCCTGGATCATCCCCACATCAAAACCAGATGCTCCTTTAATTTTAAACTCATTATCAGAGAGCAAGAGAAAGTCATTTCGTTTTACACAAAACAAAATTCACATATGCCAAAAAAGAAAGACCCAAGAGAAACAAAAACAAAAACCCTAGTGCTGACACTGATGTTCAGTGCCCTGGTTAAACAGTGGCCCGAAGGCCACGGATCAAAAATAAAATAGCGGCTGTATATCACTGCAATGAAGTTTAACAGGCTTTAACCTTCTGGCTTCAGAAATCCAGATTTTTCCAATTACATGAATGCATACTTCCTACATTCCAAGAGTGGAGAAAGTGGATGCGCCAGTGTGGAAATGAAAAGAGCCACCATTCACTGGGACAACCACAGAACTGGCTTTAACAGAGACTCCTTAGAAAGTTACGCAAAAAATAAAGACAAAAAATGGTTGTATGCGGCTTGTGTCATCAATTTTAAGTGGAGGTGACTGAGTCCTAAGGTACAATGTAAAATGTATGGGGGAAAATAGGTGCTGGGGCAAGTCTTACCTTTAAAAGCAAAACTTGAAAACAAAGTATAAAAGTGCCCAGCCTGGCAGCATACACCCAAGCCAGAGAGCTCTGCCATGAGCATGCATAGAAAATGTCAGGATTCATACTATTGTTTCTCATAAGGACTCAACAAAATGAATCCTTAATAGCTTAAACCACAGAATGAGGGAATACACAGAATGCAGTCATTTCAGTAAAGTACTATCAGGCTTTGTGCTGATTTCCTGAACTAACTGCATTTTATTATCAAAACAAAAGGAAAAGAAGATTTTAAAAATATATATATATATATATTCCTATATTTCAATTCCAGTGTTTAATTTCTGGAAGGACCTATATAATGGAGGCAGCATTTAATTAGGAAATTATGCCAATCAATTGTCAAATTTTCACTATGACTTTCCTAAAAAGGTGTTTTCTTCCAATTTCTATTAATCACAAAGAAACATAAGCTGTGACTGTATAGTTCAGAAAATTAAAACATAGAAATTAATGGCCTATGACGTTATCACCAAGGTGTTTGGTAAACAGTAAACTATGAGTTTGGAATCATCAGGAAGAGGCTTTTGAAACAACCCTCTGGACTTCAAAAAATCTCTTCAGGTAGTAGATGTGTCCCAATGTCATGGCAATTAGAACAAGAGCTTCAAAGAAGCACCGAAGGACCACTGGGCTGTTTGTGTTGTCACTAATGGCTCTGTGTATCCTCTCCCAGATTTTCGTGTATTCCTCTTTGTGCTGTACAGCTGTCATGGCCACAGCCAGCTCACTGATCATTTCTTCTAGTTTGTTCTGGTGAGCTTCTGTTTCCATGTCTTCTCTTTTTGTAGCCTCCCCAATATCAATGGTGAATATCACTATCTTTGGAGTCATGGTGGACACTCGGTCACTAAAACAAAATGTATTTGTTCCATCCATGTGAGCAGAAAATGTGTATTTCCCACTGGATTCTTTGTCTCCTTTATAAATCCTTTTATTCTTAGGTCCTGTAATCTCCATGTTGATGCCCAGGAAGCCACCTTCGAAGATGAGGCCCATCTTGGTGCCTGAGGTGACTCACTTAAGCATTCTTCAGCATGTGCGTGGATGCTGATGAAATAGCCCAAGACCATGGTCAGGAGAGTGTTCTGGAGCAACAGCAGCTCAGCGAGCGTCACCACAGTGGGGCTGGAGCAGAGGCCAGGACTCGCACTGCGGCCTCCAGAGCCACTGCCGCCATCACCACCCTACTGCCTTCGCCTACCTGGCACTTTTTGCTAATCCTAGGAAAAACGCAAACTCAAATGCCTTTTGTGCTGGGAGGTACTGTAAATAAATGAACAGAGAAGTCTAGTGTTAAGAAAAATAAGACAGGCCAAGTGCAGTGGCTCACGCCTGTAATCCTAGCACTTTGGGAGGCTGAGGCAGGTGGATCACGAGGTCAGGAGATAGAGACCATCCAGGCTAACACAGTGAAACCCAGTCTCTAATAAAAATACAAAAAAAAAAAAAAAAAAAAATTAGCCCAGCGTGGTGGCACGCGCCCGTAATCCCAGCTACTTGCGAGGCTGAGGCAGGAGAATTGCTTGAACTTGGCAGGCGAAGGTTGCAGTGAGCCAGGGTCTCGCCACTACACTCCAGCCTGGGTGATAGAGCGAGACTCTGTCTCAAAAATAAATAAATAAATAAAAATAAAAAATAAAAATAAGACAGCAGTACGTTACTGGCCGAACATATCTGAGTCATGCGTCATCAAAGAATGTTACCAGCAGTGAATCTGTATGGGTCTGCAGCAACCTCAGTTCTTACCTCTTCAGAAGAAAGAGTTCAACCAAGGGGCATAAGGCAGAAGGAGACACCAAAGCAAGTTTTAGAGCAGGAGTGAAAGTTTATTAGAAAGCTTTAGAGCTGGAATGAAAGGAAGTAAAGTACACTTGGAGGAGGGCCAAGTGAGTGACTTGAGAGATCGAGTGCATGGTTTGACCTTTTGACTTGGGGTTTCATATATTGGCATACTTCCAGGGTCTTGCCTCCCTTCTCCCCTGAGTCTTCCCATGGAGTGGGCTGTTCACGTGCTGGGTGGCCTGCATGCACAGTGTGTTTACTGCAGTGGTATGCATACCCACTTGAGGCATGCTTCCCTTACCTATCAAGCGTCCCTATAAGGTCATACACCAGTTAAACTCCACCATTTTGCCTCTTAGTGCACATACTTGATCCCACGCACCCACCTCCTGAGATCTTATTAGGAAGCTGCTGATCACCGGTTTTAGGTTTCTTCTGTCTGTTGGGAGACTATTGTTCCCTGGTGCCAGCTGCAACCAATTATTATTTGAGAGAACCATCTTAACAACTGCCTGACCATCACCTGATGGTCGCCTGACATTCCTGGTGGGATGTGGGGTGTCCCTTTACTGCCCCAACTCATATCTGACTAGCTGACTAGCTACCTACTGTAACAATTACACTTGATTGCATTTTTTTGTTGTTATTTAATTTTTATTTCATAATCATAAACTTAACTCTGCAATCCAGCTAGGGAACAAGGAAAACATGGAACCCAAAGGGAATTGCAGCGACAATACAAAGATTCTAGGATACTGCGAGCAAATGGGGTGGAGGGGTAGTCTCCTGAGCTACAGAAGGAATGGTCTGGTGGTTAAGAGAAAACACAAGTCAAACTTAGTAGAGCTGTCCACAGTCAGCAATGGTGATCTTCTTGCTGGCCTTATCATTCCTGGACCCAAAGTGTTCCATGGCCTCCATGATATTCATGCCTTCACCATGCCAAAGACCACATGCTTGCCATCCAACCACTGAGTCTTGGCAGGGCACATGAAAAACTGGGAACCATTTGTGTTGGGTCCAGCATTTGCCATGGGCAAGATGCCAGTACCTCTATGCTTCAGGATGAAGTTCTCCTCATCAAATTTCTACCTGTAGATGGACTTGCCACCAGTGCCATATGGCATGTGAAGTCACCACCCTGACATATAAACCCTGTAATAATTCTGTGAAAGCAGGAACCCTCACACCCAAATCCTTTCTTTCCAGCGCTCAGAGCACGAAAGTTTTCTGCTGTCTTTGGAACCTCGTCTGCAAACAGCTCGAAGGAGACGCGGCCCAAGGGCTCCGTGTCAATGGCAATGTGGAAGTACACGGTGGGGTTGACCATGGCTGATAGTAGGGTGCTCCCGGCAGTGGCAGCGTCTGCAAAGACTGCTTTTTTTTTTTTTTTTTTTTTTGACAAAGTCTCGCTCTGTCACCCAGGCTGGAGTGCAGCGGCACAATCTCGGCTCACTGCAATCTCCACCTTCCGGGTTCAAGTGATTCTCCTGCCTCAGTCTCCGGAGTAGCTGGGACTACAGATGCGAGCTACCACACCTGGCTAATTTCTTTTGTATTTTTAGTAGAGGCGGGGTTTTGCCATGTTGGCCAGGTCTCAAACTCCTGACCTCAGGTGATCGGCCCACCTCGGCATCCCAAAGTGCTGGGATTACAGGCGTGAGCCACCACGCCTGGCCTGATTGCATATGAAATGCACTATTTCCCCATCCTATCTCACCCCCATCTTTTTTTAACAAAGACTTCTGAAAATGTATTTTTCATCTTTCAAACTTTGCTGGACAAGTTTTTATGAATAGTCTCAACAGTGCAAGCATGATGCTAGAGAGCAATTAACCTTTGACTTCAGTGTTGGGAGACTGCAGGGAGAGGTGAAGACTGCGACAAACCACTCGTGTATCATGGCAATCGCTACTCCCTCTCAGCCATTTCTTGCCAACTAGGAATTCAGGCAGAATGTTGTCAGATCTTTCAGTTATTACAGAAAAGTAAGAAAACCTGCATTTTATGTGAAACTTCCAGATTTTCTAGTATTTTCTAATTTTTGCTTGAAATCTTTTATTGTTCCAATATATTTTATTTCTATATTCCTGTGTAGCACACATCTGGTTTTTTATTTGTGTGGTTTTTGTTTTGTTTTGTTTTGTTTTGTTTTTAGGCCAGTGAGCTGACAGATCGAGACCTCTGGGTTATGTCATTCCTTGGTCAGTAGCTTTCAGTCTTTTTCACCACTACACCCACCTCAACCAACCATCCTTTCCACCAACCGATGCCCATCACTTCCTTTCAGATGTTGCTGAAGAAACTATTTCTCCATATAATTTTCCCTAGATCACTCTATCCTTCATTCCTCATTACCAAACTGTTTTACTCTTTTAGCCTTTAGTATGTATGCTCTGTGGTCCATTGGTGAGCCCTTTATCTTTCTCTAATTACACCTGGACTATAGATTTCTAATGCCGAGGACCCTTGGTCTCCTGCCACATTCACATTCCCTTAGCAGAATGTTGCACACCCAGCAGACAGTACATGTATACTGTGAGTAAATATTTTGTATTCCTAGTCTTGCTAGGATAGAAGTTTTTATTCTATACTTGATGCATTTCTGGATCAAAATATTAAGTCTAAGTCAAGTCTCCATAGTTAAGGTAATCTTGAGGATTAAAACACTTAGGTGGACAGGCAACATAAAACACTTTATCTGAATAATGAAAGAAGAATCCGTCTGTTGGTCTGAAGTATCAAAGCAACTGTCCCAATCCTACAAACTTTCAGCATTGGGACTTCCTTTCAAGATGTAAGCAGGGATGGAAAATATACAATGCAAGCGCCATTGTTTCACTCTCCTGGGCCTGTGACAGACATCATTAAGTGATCACAACGTTCTTTTCTTCTAAGGCTGAATGCAGTCTTAGAAACCATTTTAACATGGTATCCTAGATGTATCGTGTCCATCTTGTTTATTTCTATTAAGAAATAGAGTTGGCATGAGAGCTGAAGATCCTATCATATGAAGGTACACATACAATTTATTATTCAAAAGCCAGAGAACAACATACAACTGCTGCTGCATCTCAGTCTCTCTATATTTTAATTTATTTATTGTTTTGAGACAGGGTCTTGCTTTGTGCAGGAGTGCAGGCTGGAGTGCAGTGATACCAACACAGCTTACTGCAACCTTTGCCACCCAGGCTCAGAAGGTCCTCCCACCTCAGCCCCCAAGAAGCTGGGACCACAGGCATGGCACCACCGGCATCCCGCCATGTTACCAAGGTCTCAAACTTCTGAGCTCAAGCAATCCACTCATCTTGGCCTCCCAAAGTCCTGGGATTACAGGGGTGAGCCATCCCACCTGGCCTCAATCTCTGTATATTTTAGAGGATAGATAACTTCGAATGGGAAAAGTTGTCTCTAAAGTTGACCAGTCAAGAAGAAACAATGCTTCCACTTTAATGCCTATGCCAGACTTACCTTACCCATTAACTTTTAATCCTGTAAGAAAGATTTGCTATGTGATGAGGCTGCTTTTGTTGCACCTTGTAAAACATACTGAAATAAACAAACTGTAAATGACTTTGCAGGGATTGCTGATTTAAATAAATAAATTGTTATAATTGTAGTTACAGTTATAGTCAAGGGGCTATTTCATTTCTCAGACTCTGAACCAAAGCAATTAGGAACAACTCAGACACAAAATGACCAGCATCAAGAATTACAATGAAAAGCCAATTACCTTTAACTATAAGAAACCTTATTTGCATTTATTAAAACAAATGATCTCTCAGTACTGGAGAAAATTATGTGGATTGGTTGATTAACCCTTCACTTGTAAGAGACCAGAAATTACTTTTCAGAGAGCCTGTATCTTTTCTAAATTTACAGACAGGAAACCAGTAAATGATAAATGATCAAGGCCCAAGGAAAAAACTGCATAGCACAATGGACATCTATGAGTTTCACTTGTGCTAGCATGCATTCCTCATTGTGCTGGTACCATCATCCTCACTTTCCTCTGGGGAATCCCCTTCTCCAGTTCTGACTCCAGATGGTGTAGATGGAGCTAACTTCACTCCCCACTGAGAATGAGCAAATGACCAATCAATGTATTTCACCGATGAATGATTCAGGGAGCCAATCATTAATTCGAGTCAGTCCAGTACTACTCAATGCTAAGATTTGAGAACTACTGAAGGAACTATTGTGAAAGGGAAGAATTTAAAAAAAATCTTGCTGGCATTCTGAGCTGGTAAGATAAAAACTTTGAGCGTCTAGCGGCCATCTAACCACTACAAAGTGAGACCATGCCTATGCGTGAGACCAACCCAATGGAAAGAAAACTAAGAGATGATAGAGACATATTTCTGATGCCATCTTTGAGAAGCTGCATCCAATCATTCTGGAGGCAAAAAGCTCTTAACTTTATAGATAGGCAAGCCAAAATCTTCTTACTTTCATTAAGCCACAGTTAGAGCTAGGTTTCTGTCATTTGTAAATAAAGAAGTTAAGACTAAATGCAAATCACTTATAGCTTATTTTATTACTAGGTACTCAATGTCTATGCTTTTGCATAGCTAAGTGAGAGAACTTAAATTCCAATACTGATGGGCTATTACCTCATGCAGGTACCCTAATAAATCTTGTTTCCTCTCAGTGCCATTGTTTCCTCATTTCTAAAATGGAGATTAAAATGGTAGCTCACAAAGAAGAAATACAAATGGCCTATAATCACATGAAAAAACTGTTGAACATCATTAGTCAAGAAGGAAATGCAAATCAGCTCTACAATGATACCACTTCACACTCACTAGAATGGCTATGATCAAAAAGATAGACAATAACAAGTGTTTTCTAGGCTGTGGAGAAATTTGAAGTCTCATATTGGCAAGTGGGATTATAAAATGGTGCTTCAAAAAGCATCTGGCAGTTCCTTAAAAAGTTAAACATAGAGTTACCGTGTGACCCAGCAAGTCTACTCCTAGGTATATACCTCTGAGGAAATAAATATACAAGTACACACACACATACAAATTAAAAAGTCCATAACCACATTATTCTTAACAGCCAAAATGTGGGAAAAAAAACCTTAAATTTCCATTTACTAATGAATGGATAAACAAAATGTGTCATATCCACACAATGGGCATTATTTGGCAATAAAAAGAAATGAAGTTCTGTTACATCTCACAACATGGATGAGCCTTGAAAACATTATGCTATGTGAGAAAAGCTAGTCACAAAGACCACATATCATATGATTCCATTTATGTGAAATGTCCAGAATAGGTAAATTCACAGAGATAGCAAGTAGATTGGCAGTCACCAGGACATAGGAGGAGAGGAAGGACAGTGACTGTTAATGGCTAGGGGTTTCTTTTCAGAGTGATGAAAATGTTCTAGAATTAGATAGTGGTAATGGCTACTCAACTTTGTATTTATACTAAAACCACCAAGTTTCACATTATAAACGGATAAACATTGTGCTATGTGAATTATTTCAATAAGAAAAATATCTTATAGAAAAAAAATGGTAGCCTATTCTGATTCTCACAAATGACCATTATAAGAAATCCATGATGATAACAATATTAAAGTGACGTTCTTGTTGGAGCCTAAGGAAAAACAATCCATACAAATGCAAAGGCCTATTGTTTTTAAGGCCTCAGCAAGTGCTAAGAGAATGGGAAAAGAAAATTACCAAATAGATTTTCCCAGATCACTTAGCTTCCTTTGTATCCAGCAATGGTCAACAAATATATAGCAGGCATACATAAAAGCTATTCGGAGATCTCTTGAGGTTAACAGCATGCAACATATTGCCACTGCCCCCAGCCTGGCCAGGAATATTATTTATGCCACCCTTTCACAGCTGTATCAATCTCCCATGAAACATTCAGAGCCTCCTTGTTAATAAACTACATTATGAGCCGGATGCATTGTCTGGATAAACTGCATTGTCCAAAACACTGCCCCATTATTACAGAAAATGCAGAATGTAATTAGTATTCTTCTTTGCATAAACTGCAGCTTCCAAAAATGGTGCCATATTATAAAGCCTTAATTAATAAACAAGAGTTGGGCCATGACCAGTTACACTTATCTGAATTTTATATTGTGAAGAAAGGCCACTGTTCAAATTCCGTTTACAAATATCTAAATTCTGGCTAGCCTACATGAAGATAGTCTAAACAGAAAGCCTGAGAATTCTGTGTTGCTAATAGCATTGTGTTGGTACACCAACAATAGCAAGCCATTAACTGCTGGGACATAAACCATCCTGAGAAATGTTCAGAGTGGAAGGATGATAACATTGTATTTCAGCTGCATCGTATGGTGCAATTCTTCTATTTGTTCATATGCATTTCCCATTTAATAGATGGAGGAACCAGGGTGGCTTTTCATATCTCTGTGAAACCTTAAATGTGGGGGAGAAAAGTGAGCTGGCAAAAAAACAAAAAGGATAAGTACGAGGTATTGTGGGGTGGGAGCAGGGTTACATCACAATGGAATGTAAGTACACAGTTGCTTTCTCCATTTCCAGCTGGTTTTTATTGATTTTCCCCTAACCTAACCCCAAAGCAAGGCCATTTACATAAGTCATGAGCATTGAACTAATATTTGGGACCATAATATTAAGCAGCCCATTTTATGAACCTCGGCTAAAGGAGCATTTGCATTAAACTGCACTCACCTGATTAAAATCCATCAACTCTAGCACCTTGAGAATTGTAGAGTACCTGTTAAGCTCGGCTGTGGGACTCTGCATACTGAGGCAGACCATAATCAGAAGGCAGCAAGGAATCCGACCGGGAGAGGAAAGGGAGGAGGAGAACATGTGATGTGTGTTGAAAAGCAGATCGCATGAAAGACCGCCAGTGCTCAAATCTGAAAAGAGTCCTAAGCCTACTGCAAACACAGAGCTGTGCGAACATGATAATTCTTTCAGCAAAGTCCATAATATGGCTTATAGGGCCCTGTGAAAACAAGGTGGATGAGATAGTATTACAGTTCAGTGAAGAGTAACTGGCCCAGCAATGGAATGTAGCATACACAGGAGGCCCCAAAATGGTCCCTGCCTCAGCAGAATGAGCAAGAGCTCAGAGAGTCCAAGCCGAGGGACTTTCTGCAGCCTAAACAAGCCGTCTTAGATCACTGCCCTTTCCATCAGCTCCAGGTACCAAGCACAGGCTCAGAGTCCTATCTGTCTCAGAAGGACCTGCTTTACCGTGACCGCAAGGATGGCATTTGAATCAGTAATAGGCTGTCAGAGGCCACCTTGATGCATTTGAAGAAGAGCTATCCCTGAGACATTGGTTCAAGTTCTCGATCTGTACCACCTAGCTGTGTGGTCACGGACAAGCAGTCTTGCTCATCTGACCAAGTGGATGCAGATAATAAACACATGTGAAATGAATGAATGAGAGAATAAGACCTCTGAAGCAGAATTTCTCTCCCCAGTGATACAGACAGAAGACAAGGAAATACTGGGTAGAAGAGGGAGGTTCCCTGGCAAAGGCCCCAACCTCAAGCCTGGAGACCTGCGGCCCCTAAGTGGGGCATTTCTGTTTTTGTACCCAAACGGTTGCCTTTTGGCATGCCACACTCCCTTATCCTGTACCCATATAAATCCCGGACCCCAGGCTCCAGGAGCAGACAAGGAGAAGAGGAGAAAAGCAGACAAATGACACAACAGAGAAAGAGAGAGGAGAAGGAATGTCTGAACGCCGAGAGGAACTCAGCTGGGGGCAGTCGGAGAAGAGTTTGGCCGCTGAACAGCCAAAACTCCAGGGGAAGATCATCTTCCCATTCCATCCCCCAGCCAGCTCCCCATCCATCCCATTGAGAGCCACCTCCACCACTGAATAAAACCCCTGCATGCATCCTTCAAGCCTGTGTGTGACCCAATTCTTCTAGGATGCTGGACAAGAGCTTGGGATACAGAAAGCTGTCACACTGGCCCTCTGCCCTTGCAGAAAGGCAGAGGGAGCACTGAGCTGGTTAACACTTAAGCTATCTGTGAATGGCAGAGCTAAAAGAGCATTGTAACACTGGGGCCACAGGCACCCACCCCTAGACACTACCATGGGACTGGAGCCCAAAGCACTCACTCTTGCTCCTGCACCTGGCCATCTGTGTGCTCCCTCTCCCACAAGGGGTTTGAGTTCATGGTGGTTGAACAGAGAGCCGCACCCCTGTCGCATGCCCCATGAGTGGGGCCAGGGAACTCTTCTGTTTCATCAACACTATTGACATTTGAGGTGGGATGATTCTTTACTGGGGAGGCTGTCCTGTGCATTGCAGGATGTTCATCCCTGGCCTCTACCTACAAGATGGTAGTAGCACACATACTCCCTCAATTATAACAACCAAAAAGTCTCCAGACATTGCCATATGTCTCTCAAGAGCCAAAATTATTCCCAGTTGAGAATCTCTAATTTATCCTTCAGAATGTACATTCCAGGATCTAAATTAATGAGCCATACACCCAGATAGTGCCCCCTAATTATTAGGAAAACTTACATAGATACCTTCATTATCACTGGAAATTCATCAAGACAAAAATTTTACTGAGCACCTATTATCTGCCATGTAGAAAGATACTGTTCCTGCTCCTGAGAAGCTCACAAGTTTAAGTGGAAAGTGGCATTTTACAACTTCACATCAAAGAAAAGAGAAATGTTCAGGTAACCATCTTTCCAATAAATAATAGAATATCCTTCTATCTGATTAGAGAGGTGAACTGTAAAGACAGGCAAGAATCAGAGCATATCTCTTTGCTATTAAAAGAATACTACATGTATCAAAGTTGCTGACATTTGATAAGGTGAATTTTTGGTAATTTTGACTCATTTTAGATGTTTGCTGCAGTTGTTTATTGCTGGGTGCAGGGAGTCTCAGACTCAAAGGACAATCTTATGAGGTGGTTTAGCCTAAGAGCATAAGCCAAAAGAGAGAGCTCTGGAATGAAACTGCCTGGTTTTAAATCTAGATTCTGCCATTTGCTTGTTACGTGACCCCTGGCAATTCATTAACCCCTTCAATCCTCAAATCCTTCTCTATGAAAAGGAGATAATCAATGTACCTACCTCACGGATTTGTTAAAAGGGTTAAATAACTTATGTAAAGTGCTGAACACAATGCCTCCCACAAAGCAAAAATTGTAAGAACAATAGCTGTTAGCATTGTTATATTGATATTGCTGCCTCTCCATTTTATTATGATCTTTTTTATTGTAGTAAAATACATGTAATATAAAATGTGCCATTTCAATCATCTTTAAGTCTACAGTTCAGTGGCATTAGGTACATTCATATTATTTTGCAACCATTACCATCATCCATCTCTAGAACATCTTTTATTTTCCCCAGTTGAAATTTCCCATTCCTCCCTCCACCAGGGTTGTTCTCTTAAACCAGTCCTTACCCAGCAAAATACCTTCTAAGGAAATGAGGACAAAGCTTTTGTAAATGAGACTAAAGGCAATTCAAACTCAGGTACCCTGGAAACTGAATAGAGGTAGTGCTTAAAATGGCCATTTGGGCCACTTGGGGTTATGTTGATGAGTTTAGTCACCATGAACCAACTCCTAGGAGTAACATTCTAAGTGGGTTTTTGTTTTGTTTTGTTTTTTGTTTTGAGGCAAATGGTTCCTGGCTCTGTGGCCTTCCCATCTTACCATCACAGAAGCATTCACTCTACTCCTCTAATCAATATTAACCCAGAAAAAAAGTCCAGGGACATATATATTTTGGTAGCCTAGAATTAATGGGAAAAGACAAGTTGCTGGGTCTAAACTATCAAAGTCACGTACTTTTTAACAGAGAATGAACAAACCTCCTCCCTTCAAGAATCCACCTGTTTTTGCAAGAGCATTCTGGGGTGGGAGGAAAACCTTCTGATTTCTAGCCAGCTCCTCAAAATAGCTAAAGAGTTCCTAATTTCACCTCAAACCTCTGTTTCAGCACCTACTGTGTTGTGCCAAGTTATTTCTCATCCACTATCATTTTTGACAGTGGATCTGACCCTATTGCAATCGAGTTTAAGGAGTTTGTAGACAGGAACCCTATCTGAGCTGTCAGCACGTTGCCTGATCATCTTCAGCAAGTGGTCTGGCAGAAGCATGCAGGTAAGGATGCCCTGAAGCAGGCTGTCAAGAAAACTGACCAATGAGAAAGGTGTTTTGTGCTCCACAGCTGAAGCCAATTCTGCTGGGACATCCCAAGACAGACTCCACTCGGACTCAACTGATAATACACACTTTACATCTGTCACTATCTGCCCAGGCATATTGACTTTGTAACATTCCCCCCAGGCACTTCAAGTCCAGTTTCGACTCTGTGACTTTTGCCTGTGGTCACTTTGCCTGAAATGCCCTTTCTCCTTCTCCTTCTTATCCATTCATTAGGATCTAGCAAAATGTACCTCCTTTGAAAAGCACTTTCTGTAGCCCTCAGGCACAAGTGGGGATGGCTGTGTTGGACCAGAAAAAGCAACCATTGAAATTTCCAAACTGAATCTGTACTTTGATTTATTTCAGTGTGGTATAATGTATGGTATAATATATGGCAATGTTTTCCAAGTCTGACTGTACATCACAGTGACCTGGGGGACTTTTGAAAAATAGATTCCCAGGCTCCCCTCCAATTAAGACAGCAGGTCAGAAGGTTGCAACTCAGGAAGCTTTACTTAATGTCTAGAAGTTTCCCAGGATATTCTGATGCATGAACCGTACTTGAAACAATAGTCAGACATTGCTACTTATCAGCTGTGTGATTTGGGGCACTCTGAGCTTGTTTCCTCATCTGTAAAATAGCGGGGAAGTAGGGGAGTGTCACAAGGTCTTAGAAAGGACCACATGAGGGAATGAGTGCAAAATTCTTAAATGATGCCTCAGTAAGTGAAATTATGATGCTAATTACAACGAATGTCCTTAAAAAGCTACTTTTCACTTCCAATAGTCCAGCTTGCAAAACCTTCCTCTATCAGAGAAAAATTTAGTGAAAGAGTAAATGGGCTTCACACCAGGATGATAGCCTGGAAAAATCAAAAGAGACATTGAGACATTGCCCACATAGAAAGCAGGGGAAGAGCATGTTCAGTTTTTCTGAAGGTCTATATTCTTCATTCCTACTGTCCATTTCTCCTGATTAAAAGTCTCTCCCAATAGCTGAGACCATTAACAAATATAAGCCCATCAAATGGTAGCTACCCCACTTTGTAAAATTAGGCTTTTGTGTCTCTCATAGAATAATGTTCTAACACTTCACTACCTGTAATAAAGTATTTGCACCACAAGAAAAAAATGTATTTCATGACCAGCAGGCTACAACCAGCATTCTGCTTTTAGGAACCCATGCGTTTGATTGTATCCTAAGTTGGTAATGAGTCACCACTTTTGCATTTAGTTAAGGACACCAAACAATGACTCTGTGAACCTCAGCTCAGACTGCCCCTGAGTCCTCAGAAGATGCCTAAATATGGACTGTTCTGTAGCGCTTAAGGATATCAAATGACAGTATACCATGACAATCACAACTAATCGAAGTCCCCTGCAGAGTAGTTCCTCATAAAGAGATGGAGATGGAAAAGTAGGAACGTTTTTCAATGCTATGCAGAAGGAAAATAATACCTACTGACCATATTCATCCTTTCAAAGGTCTGCCCTGAAGGCAAGTTGACAACACCCAGGCTTGGTTCTCCCTTTTGGAAGAGCTAACGCTAGGAGAGTTCACCCTTGCTCCCTCTGGCGGGAATCAGCAGAACAGAGCGGGAGGCACTGTGGCATTAGGATTGCAAACCCTGGCTTCGGACACAGTGCTGCTTGAATCAGAATCTACACTGCAGCTGGGCAACTGGCTGAGGTCACATTTTTAGGCTCTGAGCTGCTTTCTCTATTTGCAAAGTGAGAATACACAGCTTCTAAGGTCATAATGCAGATCAAATTATATATAAAGCACTTAACATGTGCTCAGTAAAAAGTCATTGATCTAATTATTGTTGTACTTTATTGTCATTAATATCAAGGGAATGACAGCATAGTGAGTCTCCTAGGGATGCAGGTCAATAGATGTTGAACTGCTATTATGCAGCAGGTACTGTGCTAGGTCCTGGGTAATACCAGAGCAAACAAGATCAACACAATCTGCACCTCCAGGAAGCTTATGGTCTAGTTCAGAGGTAGGAAAAATGTGTTTTGTTTGGCCTGCACCTTGTGTATAAACACAAAACATAGAGCAAACATTTTAAACTTGGATGACTTCACACCACAGTCCAGATTTCTGGCTTCTCTTTGAAAACATCAGAAATTCTGAGAGTAAGGGAGATTTCTGTCCACATGCCAAGCCTTCTAAGTCCCAAAGCACCAACCTTCCACTGGAGAGTGGCCTGCTGGCTCTTCTCATTAAGAAAAATCTCCCTCTGGCTACACATGATGAGGGGCCTGGAGGAATTAAGAGAGATGAGGTAGCTGAGGACACAGGTCCAGGGGACCAGAACTGAAGCAAGGAAGGAGAAAGGAGACTCAGCGCTGGTTCTCTTTCACGGGGTTTTTTTGTCTCTCAGCTCAGCTCGCTCTGTTTGGCTGGACACAGAAAACCCTGGAGGAGAATTCTGATTCCAACTTGCTCTTTGCACAGTTAATTATTTGGAGCTCCCAGAAGGTTGGAGAGAACAATGACTTCCCCTGCAGTGGCAGCTGGACTAGCTTAGTTCCCTTTTCTGCCCCCAGGGGTCAGAACCCAAGGAAGGGGGGCTATTTGTTTTGGCCTTAAACCAAATCTGCCTAGAGACACAGAGCGATGCTCTGACCTGAGACCACAAAAGCTACTATTTCAATGCCTGGTAAAGCTCCTCTCTCTTGCCGTCCACAGCAGTCTACTGACGAAAAACGCGTTTTCCCTATGCAAACTGTTTACTTCTCTCCTTTGCAAATTGGAAGTAATGTAAAAAAAAAAACAAAACAAAACAAAAAAAAAAAAAAACAGAAAGAAAAGAAAAGAAAAAAACCTATATGCACAAGAATTCCATCTCTCCTTGCAAATAAGATATTTCACATTTCCTTAGGCAGATAGCATGCAGACAAGTAGGGGAACTAATTGGGATGGATCAGTGAAAACAACGAAAGCTCATTTATACACAACTTGCTAAGTGTCCACAACTTTGTTCTAATAGGGGATCCATGACAAGTCCCTCAAAAACAGAGAAACAGGAGAGAATAATTTACACTTTATAGTTGTGAGCCCTGTAACAGTAGAACAACCTTCCTGCAGTCCCAGAGAGATTGTCCCCACATCTAACCAAAACCATTACCATCAATGGTGTCCTGCATTTTGAACAGTTGTTAATGAAGTCTTGCCTGACCCAATACAGAGTGAAATGGGTGTAGTTGCTGCTACAGGCTGCCTTCTAGCCTTCCTGCATCTGAATACATTTTCTCTGTTGGCTGTTCTGATAGAGATTCATCTGGAATTCTTAACTAGATAAATCCCTCAATGACAAGGTAAGGCCCATCTTCTGATTAAACTTGTATTGAATTTATTTATTTGGCCAATCATGTAATCCATATTTATTAGGTACCTTTTAAGCACCAAGCATTGTGCTGAGTGACGGGGATATCAAGGTGAGTCAAAACAACCATAGTCCCTGTCCTTAGAAGTCCAGAGGGGCTGGGTGCAGTGGCTCACACCTGTAATCCCAGCTTTTAGGGAGGCAGAGGCGGGAGGATAGCATGAGCCCAGGAGTTTGAGACCTGCCAGGGCAATATAGGAAGACCCCATTCTCCACAAAAAGGGGGAAAAAAGCAAGTCCAGAGAAAAGGAAGCTACTAATCAAAAGATCTCACAAATATAAAACTGACCCTCTGAAAGGTGTATAAGAAGTATTTTGGTACTAGGAGGCTCTATTACAAAGAGTTCGTCTAGATATGGGGTGGCAGATAATTTGTCTCAGAAGAAACAGTACTTGAGCTGACATTTAAAGCCAGGGGAAAAGCATCATAGGCAGCGGGAATCAAACACTCAAAGGCCTTGCCGTGAGGCTGAGCAGTAAACATAAGGACTGAATAAAGACCAGTGAGATTGGTGTGGAGAATGCAAGGAATAGAGTGATGAAGATGGAGAGTTGGTAGGGACCGTGCAAGGCCTTGTGGAGCACTTCAAAGATTTCCAGCAACATAAAGCTATTTAAAGATGTTTAAGCAGGGTATAATGGTGGTAGTTGATGTGATCAGATTTACGCTTTGAAAAAATATAGATTAGAGTTGGCATTTTGGGGGGACACAGAGTAGATCCAGGTAGATCCAGGTAGACCAAGTAGTCTAGACCTCCTAGGTCACAGGTGTCTAGGAGGGGATGGTAATTTGGACTTGGATGGTATGGCGCTAGAGGTGATGTAGCCACATTGACATATTCTAACAATAGTTACTCTGGTACCAACCCAATATACCAGAGTCATCCAATGGCCCAAGAGTGGTACTAACTGTAATTCCTGATTCTGTGAAGCTGAGTAAAAACATTTAGAAAGACCAAACTAAAAAGGATCTGAACGCATCTGTACTCCCTCATCCCCAGCAGCAAGGTACCACCACGTACTCTGAGTGATCATAGCTTTATACTTGAATTGACAAATTCTGCATAAGACTCCACAGGAAACCCATTAAATAGGCAGGGAAGAAAATGCTCACCATTCAGCATTGACAAGAAAGATGATAACAAGCAAGTTTTCAGTCAAAGTGGGTAAAATGTTGAATTTCTACTCTAGTGTCATTAGCACTGCACCTGATTTTTTAAAACAATATTTTGGTTAATCAAAACTCTGGGTCAATCAACTGTTCCACAGTGACAGCTCCTGTGGTCATCAATCTTTGTTATCGCTTGAAGCTGACATGGTCTCGGTCCACAGGAGAGTAAGCAGCAAAAGACAAAGGTTTCTCTTCATTTCCCCCAAAGGGAGTTAAGCAATGAGTCATAAAAGCATCTAAATTATTCACATGGCTTTCCAGAAGTTTATGATTCAAGATTTGGGAGAGATAATTGAAGGAGGTGGGGTGGGAAACGTAACACTGGATGAACACATTTATTTTGAAAATGAAAGGATGAGTTTCTGAGGTAGACCCAATTACCACACACAGGGCTTCAGGAGCGACAGCAGCGGCCTATGGTTCCGCCACACAATGCTTCATTCATTCCTTACATGGGTTCGGACGATCATTATTAACCTACAGTCACCTGAGAAAAGCTCAGTGTCTGCCAATCAGTCACACTGGACTTTTGTGGAAATGGAAAAAGGAAGAGAGAGTAAGAAGGGAGGGATGGAGCAAGGGTATGGAGGGAATGTGAGGAAAGCACAAGGAGGGGCCAGAAGGTGTCAGCTGGTGGAGGAGATAAAATGTTTTCTGTTTCTGTTTTACTTGTAGGGTATAAGAAAGAGACATCAGTGTGAAGATATGCCACTGGGTAGGGGCTGAGGGTTGTTTGTATGTTTGTTTGTTAATAAACGTGGCTTGAATTAGATATATGGCTCTCCGTTTTAGTATATAAGAAATACAAGTAAAAGAGTTCAGCTATTGTGAAACTTCATTCTCTTGCCAAATGGAGTTTCCTTGACTGTAATGCTCCAAGACTGAACCATGTACATTCACTATTTATAAAAGCTAGACATGCATTTATTGAACCTACCAGATGTAGGTACTGTAACCAGGCATGATTAACAGTAGAAAGAACTGAAAAACCCTTCATGATTCAGCCTTAGTTTACCTTACTGGTTTTATCTCCTGTGAATTCTCCTTTAAAACTAAGATCACAGTTCTGTGGTTCTTGGAATTCACAAAAAAAAAAAAAAATGCTCTACTTCCCCTCTGTGTATGTGAGTATTCTCTCTGCACTGAATGCCCTTCCTCCTTCATCTAGCAGCACTGCTCCTCTCTGCCTGGAATTGTCTAATTCCTGCCATTCCTCGGATCTGTTTAGACATAACTTCCTCAGGATGCCATCCTGAATTCTGAGCTGAGTCAGGTATCCCTTCTCAGGGCTCTCACTGAGCTTATCTCAACAGTAGTCTAGGTAGCATTCAATCATAATTAGATAGTGTGCAAGCTTTCTGATGGCAGAGGCTAAGACGTTATCATGTTTGTATCCCCAGCCCCTAGCACACCATGAAACACAAAATGCCCAATAAATTTTTGCTGAATAAATAAAAAAATACAATACTTGATACCCAACTCCAAGGCACTTTCAGTGTAGTTAGTAAAGATAGAACATTTTGAAACATAACACAGCACAGGGCAATATGAAAGAAAATAAAAAATTAAATAAATCTGTTATAAGCAACAAAGCAGGTATTTAGAGAAGGCAAAGATTACTTTTAGCTGGGGTGACAGGAGCAACAGAATCAACGACAATTCAATGTGTGTTCATGACACAAGTCCTGTGTTAGTTGTTTTCAACAACAACCCTGTAACTTGATAATATTATCCCCATTAACAAATGTGGAACCCAAGGTTCAGAGAGGTAAGTGATTTTTCAAGGTTATATAATCAGCAATGCCAGGATTTGAATGATGAATCTAAGATTTCAAAACACTGAGAATGGAAAGGTGGGTATCCCAGGTAGAGTAAAAACAGAAACAGAAAAAAATGTGCAAGTGCATCTCAGTGTAATGTATGTCCTGGGGATTAAAAACAAATCAACTTGATATAATCTATTATAGGAATGCTAAGGATGCTGATCCTAGCAAGTAAGCTGTGACTAGACTGCTGGGGGCCTTGAGTGTCATGCTGAGGAACTTGGGTGCTGAGGAGCCATTAGAAGCTTTGGAGTAGAGAAAATGTGATCAGAGCTGAAACTCTGAAAGCCTTATTAGAGAGTGGGAGATAGGATGAACTGGAAAGATAAGAAGGAAGTTTGCAGGCAAGGTAATTCTGTTGGGGACAAAAAAACTTTTCCTTTATCTTCTTATGTTAGGTATTTGGGGGCCTGCAAATTAAACTGACAAACCACAGATTAACAGGAGAAAAGTTTATTTATGTGCATATGGAAGCTTACAAAAGAAGTAACTCAATAAATGGTTAAAGTTAGAGGCTTATACAGTCTTGCCTGGGTATCCATGGGGAATTGGTTCCAGGACCCTCTCTCGCCCTCCATCGGATACCAGAATCCAGGTTCACATTCCTTATATAAAATAGCAAATATAACCTGTACACATCCTCCCGTATAATTTAAATCATATCTAGGCCAAGTGCGGTGGCTCACACCTGTAATCCCAGCACTTTGGGAGGCCGAGGTGGGCGGATCACTTGAGGTCAGGAGTTCAAGACCAGCCTGGCCAACACAGGGAAAGCACATCTCTACTAAAAACACAAAAATTAGCCAGGTGTGGTGGCACACGCCTGTAATCCTAGCTACTTGGGAGGCTGAGGCAGGAGAAATGCTTGAACCCGAGAGGCAGAGGTTGCAGTGAGCCTAGATTGAGCCACTGGACTCCAGCCTGGGCAACAGAGTGAACTCCATCTCAAAACAACAACAACAAAAATCATATCTAGATTACTTATAACACCTAATACAATCTAAGTGCTACATAATTATTACATTGTATTGTTTAAGCAATAATGACAAGAGAAAAAAGTCTATACATGTTCAGCACAGATGCAATTTTCTTTTTTTCAAATAGTTTTGATCCACTGTTAATTGAACCTCAGATATGGAGGGGCAAATGTATAACTACCTTAGTAGGGAAAAAGGAGTGGGAGAAAAGACCTCTTTGGAAAGAATAAGCAGGTTTCTACAGGAAAAACAATGAGAGATAAGAAAGTTTGTAATAATGTTTGTTCATCCAGGTACGAGTGGTCTCTCTGTCTTCTTCAAGGCTATAAAACTCCCCCAGAGAGGATATTTATGATATATTGAGTCTCCTTCCTAGGAGTAAAAGCCACCCTGAAGAAGGAATTTATGAAAGCCTCATTTCCCAGAAGTTTCTGCTATTAGTCAAATAAGAGAAGCTCTGAGACGGTTTTTTTTCCGCATCTGTTGAATCCCAAATGTCTTCAGCTTAAAATAATCTTCAGACCAACTCTGGGCTTCTGAGTGGGTACCCGACATTACCACCTAGGAGCCTAGCACAACTCTCCAGCTCCAAAGGCACTGATGTCTGGGATGGAGGGAAAGGGTGGATTCAAGCCCTACTGTGAGAGAAGACACCAACAGCCCCTAACAGCTGAGTTATTGTGCGTCTGAAAGAGAAGGAACTAATGGTGACTTAAAAGCATTAAGCCAAGATGACAGAGAGATCATTGTCACCACTAACACAAATAAGGAAGCCAGTCAGGAGAAAGTACTAGTTTGAAGGGGGAAATTTTAAACATGCTGAATAAGACACAGCAGGAAAAATCTCTAGGAGACAATTGGAAACGTGGAACCAGAAAACCAGAAAGTGATCAGTGCAGGAAATGCAACTTGGGAGTCATTTGCCTAAAGCCATAACTTGAAGCCATAGTAAATGTGGGTATATCTCCAAGGATTAAGGAATAGAGAAAGAAGACTAGAAGGTAAGCAACAAATCTTAGTTAATACTCAAATTTAGATGGTCTGCATGTGACATTAACAAGTGAAAGATACAAAGAATTAAGATTAAAGTGCCCAGTATAAGTCTGACACTAAACTGGGAACTTTTTCTATGTCATTTTATGACGTAGGCACTACCTCTATTTCATTAAAACCAAGGCTGAGAGTAATGTATCTTGTCAAAGCCATATAACTAGTAGACAACAGAGATGGGATCAAAGGCATGTTGCCTCACTCAGGGACCATCTGACTCATGCCTTCATGGACAGGACTGTGGGATGGAGGGCAATGGAGGAAGAGTTTTCAGGAGTGCATAGGATGAACGTAGTCAAAGGCAATGGGGACCGAGAAGAGGCCACTGAATTCTGAGTCCTCTGAGAGGACTCACCTCTCAGAAATAGTTGCAGTATAAGGTCTAAAATCAAGGCCCCCATATTTTGTGCTGCTTTGACATATGGAGAAATTCAGGAGGGCCTCAAATGACCTAATGACAAGTTCCCCTCCTGACATGGTTTGGCTGTGCCTCCACCCAAATCTTATCTTGAATTGTAACTCCCACAATTCCCACATGTTGTGGGAGGAACCCAGCAGGAGGTGATTGAATTATGGGAGCAAGTCTTTCCTGCACTGTTCACATGATCATGAATCAGTCTCACAAGATCTGATGGTTTTTAAAATGGGAGTTTCCCTGCACAAGGTCTCTCTTTGCCTGCTGCCCTCCATGTAAGATGTGACTTGCTCCTCCTTGCCTTTAGCCATGATCATGAGGTCTCTCCAGCCATGTGGAACAGTAAGTCCAATAAACCTCTTTCTTTTGTAAATCACCCAGTCTCCGATATATCTTTATCAGCAGTGTGAAAACAGACTAATACACCTCCCAGCTCTGCTCCTGCAAATAAAGTCCCCCAGCCAAACAACCCTCCCTGTCATGTGAACCAGGCATGGTTCCTGCTTATTCCTCTTATTCCGGAGTAGTGGATTTCAGTTTCCTGCCAGCCTGCAGAATTATTCAGACAAGCCGACTTCATCCTCCCATAGAAACAGGGATAATCCCACCCCTCTTAATACTAAAGCCTTCTTCCCACATCCCCTGATTGCTCACTGTGTTCCCAAGTGCAACTCCCACGTGGACCTGTGTGGCACTCAGGGTCCTTCCTCCCTGGGCTGTGAGTATATGTGACTAACAAACTGCTGTCTCACTGGTCCAGTGTTGTTCAGTCATCTTTCTAACCCTAGGGTGGGACCCTTTCTCACCAACCAGGTAAGTCGAGAGTGGTTAGAACAACAGAAGACACCAGAGTGTTTACTGTGGAAGTAACATGGGTGAAATGCTTCACTTTAATAACTACTGGCTTTATTACAACTGAAGAAATCTGAGAAATGGATGATTACTCTTTTCTAATTTTATATAGGAGGAAACTGAGGAACAGAGAGGTGTTCAATGGATACTTAGAGTGAGACAGCACCAAATTATTTTTCTCACTTTAATGTTGCATTGTTCTCAAATATTTTTTTTACAAGATCCTTTCCAGATGCTTCTATGAGAATCACATATATCCAGTATTTACAGAAAGCCATTGCAAGCAATAAGGAAAATCCAAAAAGCAAAATATGGGCAAAGGATAGGAACAGATAATTTCCAAAAGAAGAAATAGGAATGCCAATGATGGCATAATGTCCAACCTCACTATGAATCAAAGAAATTCAAACAAAAATTACAACAAATATTTTTGTCCCTTTTTGGTTGAGAAAGCTTTATACTACCCACTGTTGGTGAGATTTTAAGGAATTGGAGATGCTCATACACAGATGGGATAAGTAGAAATCAGTATCTCTCTGAAAGGCAGGGTAGCAACTTTCTCAAAATCTTTAATGGTAGTATTTTATGAAAAAAAAATTCATTCGTAGGATTATATCCAAAGGAAACAACTTGTGAAATTCATAAATGTATATGGATGAGAATGCTTATTCATTGTTTTTTTATAATATAAAAAAACCAGAAACAATCTAAATGCCCATCAAAAGGGGATAGGCTAAGTAAGTTGTGGTACACCTATAAAATAGAATACTATGCAGTCTTTTAAGTGGAAGATGTAGATGTATATTTATCAACATAGGAAGATGATATTTGGTTTTAAAAACTAGGTTATAAAGCTGCAGGTGGAAGAGTACACATATTATGTAAAATGTTTATAAAATTTTGTGTTTTTCTACGTACACGCATAATGAGACATTTGTTGGGAAATTTGCAAAGTTTTAGTATTCCATAGTCTTCAAATTTCAGGTGAGTCTTACTCTCTTCTTTAGTTTATCCCAAAGGCACATATCAGTAATCAGGAAATAAAAGGTTGTTTTCACTGGGGGTGGGGGAACACATGGAGAGGAATGAATAGGTCACCTCAAAAAGAAAGCATACTTCAGGAAGAACTTACACAAATTACACAACATACTTTGCTTTTGCACTTATTTTTTATTTCCCAACAGATAACACGTGAAATTCCAGAAAGGGGAGAATCAATTGTGCATTCGATTTTTCACAGGGAGCTCATGAAACTAAGGCTTCTGTGCAGCAGCAGGGCCATGGAGTGGAAACTGGAAGGCGACTGGGGTCAGTAGGTGCTGGCCAGTCCCTCTCTGATTGAAAAGGACATGTGAAGGGTGCCAAGTGAGACCTCCTCTCCAAGTTCTCAACAATGGCTACTTTTTTGCGTTTTATTTTGTGAACAATTCGAACCCACAACCCTGGATACATTCCACTTGTGTAGGTTTCCCCTTCAGACAGCAAATGCTGCTGTTTCCAAATCCAATCATGAGTGTTTGCTGTTGGAGCGCTTGGTGTAAGGCATGTGTGTCCTATAAAATATGTTTCTCAAAACTTAACTTTTTAAGAAATCAGTCACTGGTTTATCTCCCAATTCTATCACCCAGAAGAAGAGAAAGATGCCAAAACAGATCCCACAGAGAGTTTCATTCTGAAAAACAGACATTTAATGTAGTTATTCTGAAAAAAATACAAACTGTATTATGTCACTTTAGAAATTTCAAAATAGAGATCTCTAGGTATCCCGTTAGGCATCTGTCGTGCTCCCAATTACATTACTTTCGACAGCCCTAAGAGAAGCAATATTTATTGGCCTACTAAGTCTTTAAGAATGCAAAACTTAACCCATCTGGAACTAGTTGTGTTGTTGGCTCCAGGGTTCCTTACATCAGAACAAATTCAGACATAAACTCTGGGACAGTTCTTGAATATTGCATGAAGGTGAGTTGCAGGCATTCACACAACACAGCATTGTCTTTTAAAGCATTTTTATAAAGCAGATCCAAAGGCTGGCAAACCTTTCCTTCACCATAAAGGAAATCTAGGCTAAAGGGGAAAATAAGAAGTTTATGAACTATTAAAAAAATAAAGCTGTGGAGTTAGGGAGTTATGGATTAGGTTCCAATCCATTAATTCTTTTATTCTCTGGCAGAGCTGGCTGAAGATGTGCAGCCCTCTGGCGGGTAACAGAAACATTCATGTCCAGAACAATCACAAAAAGGGAGAGAAATGGCTGGCAGAGCAGAGGGCGGATCCACTCATTTGGATGTTAATTTATACAGAAATCTGGAATTCAATAATCTCACATCCCCCAGGTAAGGGAGCGATCCACTCTCCAATTTCATTTGGGAGTTCTATTACATTAAGCAATATTCTGTTTGGCCAGACATGCCATTCTTCTCTTGAAGGAAATTAATTTCTTGATTCTTCCATCTAATAATCTAATATAATCCCAAGTCAGTGCTTTAAGTTTTCTCATGACACTACTAGACAAAATAAACTCTGAAGTACCTCTTGTGGGAACTCACAAGATACAGATGAAAACAAAAGAAGAAAGTAAAATTGAAGAGGGTGAGGCCAGGGACAATTAGGTATTGAACTGCCTGCCCTGCCTCTGACACATGATACATGTGATTTGTTAAGACGATTTTCTATCCTTAACTCTTCACTAAGTAGGGCTGCTTTACAATTTCCATAGGAAATTTATTTTTAAGTATGTAAGGCCTGTGAACAGGATAAATAAAAGATTACAAGGAAAAAAAAAAGCAGTGATTTCTGGTTGTTTAAAAGGCAACTCAACAAGCCTTTCCCAGCAAAAGGAAAAGGTCAGGATCAATAAAAGGGCCTTTCCTTTGGGAGGAGATCTGTTTTCAATTTAACAAAAATAAATCCTTATGGTGTAGTCTTCTGAAGACCAAGGAAACATCAAGCTATACAAGGGATCTGGCCTTACCAGGATAAGAAAACTTCTTCATTTGATATTCTCCAATAATATCAAAACAAAGTAAACTGTACCCACTTTGCACTCTTTCTCGGCCCCCTGCCTGTTAGTGAAAGGCCAGTTAACCTGAAAAATGAAAACCAGCTCTTAAATGTAAAGATGATACTACTCATTGATGCAATGTTATCCTGATAGTGGCTTTTCAGAGATATCATCTTAAGCGTGATATCAACAGGGGGAATCTCACATACGAGTAGAGGCTGGTTTAGAAAAATCCTGCAGGATATGGAGTGTCTTTGGTGACAGAAGTCATACTCTTAAAGGTATCTTGGTCAAACTCATCATCTCTTACTCTTTTTATATTAGCCGGGCGTGGTGGCACATGCCTGTAATCCCAGCTATTTGGGAGGCTGAAGCAGGAGAATGGCTTGAACACAGGAGGCAGAGGTTGCGGTGAGCTAAGATCGCGCCACTGCACTCCAGCCTGGGTGAGAAGAGTGAAACTCTGTCTCAAAAAAAAAAAAGTACTGGCTCAACTACTATGATGAGAAGCTTTTGGGAGATACTCAGTGGTAATGTCAGCCTTATTTTCTGTGGCAAATCTGAATCTTTGCTGCCGTAACACAGTTGTTTTCAACATTTACCCTTTCTACACTCATAGGCACACACACAATTTTAACTGATGAATTCATAGAATTCATAAACCTGACAGTGTCCCATTGCTGGAACCTTAGTCATACCCATTCCTAGCTCTTGCTAACTATAACTTCTCCATTTTTCCTTCCTCTCAAGAAAGTATATTAGATTGCAAGGTTGCAAGAGAGTAAGAGTCTTAACCTTAAATATGCTTTCATTTATTAGAAAAAAGGAAATCATCTGCATCCTTCAGCAATTTAAATATTATTAGAGAAAAACCTGGTGGGATTCAGCATCAAAGTTATTCTCCTTTCTGGCATGACCTCCTCTCAGCACTTCTTCAAGTATATAAATCCTACCAATACCTCAAGGTCCATCTACTCTGTATTCTGAAAATACTCCAATCTCCTCTCCCTGGAATCTACCAGGACTCTCAAACTCAAGTGTTTTCCAGCAGTCAGGAAAGTTAGTTGCATGCTGCAGGCCAATTTTCAGGCATGTGTGTTTACTGGATGAGTGATGAGGACATGACAACAGAAGAGAACACGTCCTCCCTGAAGGGGGCAGCAGCCAGTCAGTCCCATCCCATTGCTGTCAGGTGGGAATGCAGGCCCATAGCTACCCGATCTTCCAATGTTTTAAGATAAGTCGAAAATCTGCATTCTATGGATAATATCTCAACTTCAAATGTTGGCTCACTTAGGATGACAATGACTCTGTGATCTGCATTGGACCCATGGAACCACTAATTTGCAACCTCTGGTTTCTACAAAACATGAAGCTGACTGATAAATGACAAGCTTGTGCCATTTATCAGCAAGTGTTTGCTATTTCACATCATCAGTCACATCAGTATTTCAGAGAGCCATAAATAAATGTATAAGTTATAGGTAACAAAAATAAAGCAGGGCTTTAACTTAATTATCTTTAATTTAGCTTATTTAAAGTTTCAAATAACATGTAAAGAGGGCCTGAGATATTTATATTTAGAAATTTAGAGACATTGGTTAAATAAGTTAAGGAACAATGAGCCAGACTCTGAAGTCCCAGCAAGGAGGGACTGTATCTTTGTTTTATTCAGTACCTATCAAGAGTGCTAAGTACACAGGTTTGAATGGAACTGATTTGAATCATTTAAGGAAAAAGGTTCCAGACAAACATTGCATGCATTAGAAACTGAGTATTTCCCGATTAAACATACACCACCCTTACATTTCCAAAGTGTCAGCAAAGCATTCTGTTCTTTGGTCAAATCTTGTAAAAGCCACTTACTCCTAAATATTTTTACTTTGTAACCTTCACCGTTCCAAGTTCATCTAAAAGAATAAAGAAAATACCTGGCACAGAGAATGCATTCAAAGTGTATTAGTTAAATTTCACTAAAAAGAAGTAAACAAAAGACAAAAAACTTCAATGCATCTTGATTCTCTGTAGAGAGAGCACCTTGTGGCTTGGGCTTCTTCTATCAAACACATACCCACACCTTTTTGTCAGATAAACTCATTTGGTTTTTCTTGTGTAATGGGGTGAGTATTGTACAAGGTTTCAATGCCTTTTTTTTCCAACTCACATTGTCCCTTAGAAGCTCGAAGTACTAACAAAGTGCTTCACCACACAAAAGTGCTGTCTACATTTGTCTGGCAAATACGATGCCAAACGAAAAGCCTGATGAGTCTGCAATTCGTCATGGGCATGATCAAGCTCCAGGCTGCTTCCACCAGAGAGCAAATTCAACATTATAAAGGAAGTGTGGACAGGAAAGCCTTCCAGCAAGATTCTCAGAATATGGACATGAGATTCAAAGACTAATAAAATGGGTTGGGGAGACGGTATTGATGAAGAAGCAGCCGGAGAGGAAAAAAGGAGGATTTGAGCAGATGTCTGTCACTAAAGAAAGTGAAAGACACAGAGGAAAGAGAAGATCTATGTTATCACCTGTGATCCTAAAACAACTCTAGGAATTAGGCCGCATTATCCTTGCTTTTATAGAGGAAGAAAATGTGGAACAGAAAAGCTGAATAACTTGTCACAGTCTTACCCAGCCAATTAGTGGCTTAACTGGAGTTTGGCCAGGTCTTTTTGTCTGTATAGCACAAACCTTGTGACCACACAGCACTAACTTCCAATAAGTCACCCAAAAAGTCAGCTGCATGTAATTAGCTCTGCTGTGAAACTATGGACTGGGGAAAGGGCATTGTTCATTTGTTAGCTTAATTTTTGTTAAAGGCATACAAGACCAACCACAAAAAAAGAAAAACAAAAACAAAACAAACAAACAACAGCAAAAAAAAATCAGCCAGAGCTGTAGAAAATCAACTCTGTCATTAGTAAGTATATTTTATTCAAGTATGTGTTATTAATATATTTGAGATCTCCCAAATACTAAAGAGATAGAAATTTAGATACATTGGAGATAAACTTCAAGTAAGCTATTTTTTCACTATTGCATAAATGGGAAGATATTTTCATTGAAAATAATGTTCCTTTACTCAATCACCCAATATTTATTGAGAAACCACCTGGGCCAGACATTGTTCTGAATTCTGAAGATCAGAGAGTGAACAAGAAGCAACTGACTTTGTTTTGTTTACAGTTCAGATTGAACAAAGCAATGGCAACAGAGAAAGAAAGAGAAGCCATTTATGGTTTGTGATAAATGCTGTGAAGGAAATATTTTCTGATAGAGAATGAATGGAAAACTTCCTTTAGGCAAAGAGGACAGGAAGGGCCTCCTTAGGTGATTGTGTCTAAATGAGTCAAGCATGTCGAGGGTTGAAGAAAGGGTGCTGCAGGCAGAGAGATAAGAGTATGCTAAGAGCCGGTGAGGACACTGAACTTAGCTCTTCCTGGGAAGTGGCAGCCCCTTGAGTTGGTGCAGTGACCAGGGTGGACATGTGTAGTATAAGCTTCAGGGAAGAGGTGAGTAGAAACCAGCCAGCCCCTCATGGGTCTGGTATACCACTAGAGTGCGTTTGGAATTAATTGTAAGCACAAGAGAAAGCTGTTGAATGATTCAGTCTTCAACAAGGGAACAACATGAACAGATTGGTGGTTTTATTTTGGCTGCCATGTGAAGAATGGATGACACGACACTCGCATAGAAGTGGAAGACTAGTCTAGAGTTTGGAAGATAGCACTTGGACGTCCTGCTGGATGCCTGCCATTACCCTCTGGATCTGCCCTCCACCCTTTCCTCGCCTGTTGCCTGCCTCAGAGGCTGGCTTACATGGACTACGGCCCAGGGCTCTCTAGCTTCCAGTTAGTTTGGTCAATGGGAAACCCCAGCCAGAGATCAGAAGGGAGGAGAAAGAACTTAGGATATTAGTCCCTCAGCACCCTGTCACCTCCAAGCAGAGTTTCTCACAGGTTGGTTGTATCCCACCACCCAGGGCTGCTGGTCCTTCAGGTGGCCTCTGCCAAGGGGCCTGTCACACAGCTCTCCCTCAGGTCCCAATAACCTTCCCTCTCCTATGCCTCTTTCCTCCCCTTTACCCTTCAGGAGTTGAGTAGCATCAGAAAACGCTGCAGCTAGCCCCAAGGTACTGCACTCTGTCTTGTAGTTTGAAAATGCTACCTTTGTTAAACTCTAGTCAAATTACCCAATGTATGGATGCCATCTGTTTCCTGTGGGGCTGACTGATACAGGAAGAGAGAAGCAAGATACTATTTTGACACGTTCAGTTACTGTGATCCTTGAGTAACATTCTGTTTAGCTTGAGTTCATATAACTCAAAAGGTTATCAAGGAAATCTTACACCCTTTTACCTTTTTAGGAGAAGCAACAAATTCACCAAAGAGGTAAAATGCCAAAATCATGGGCGTGCGGATTCAGAAAATAAAATAAGCATTAGTGGTCATCAGTATTTGATTTCAGGCCAATTGTTAGAGCTGTCGCTTAAAAATTTAGATGTACATTTCTCATTCCATGTTTCATTTATTCAATCAATGTTTATTGAGTGCCTACTACTTGCAAGGCACTATTTTATGAACTAGACATAGAGCAGAGACCAAAACAAAATGCCTACTCTCTTGGAGCTTACATTCTGGGGGAGAATCAGAAAATAAACAACTCAATGATATCTTATGTGCTTATAAGAAATGGTTAACAGGAATAGAGAGTGGGAGATCAGCAAGAGGACTGCTGATTTATAAAAGACAGAGTAGGCCTTTCTTAAAAGGTGATAATCTGAGCAGAGATCTAAAGGAAAAGATGAAGCAAGCTACGGCGATGTCCAGGGCAAGTGTGTTCTGGGGGCGGAAATCATGAGATGACGAGGTGTGGGTGGCACTTTTGAGTACCAGTAGAAGGCCAGTGCCACTGTAGCAGAGGAAGTAAGGAGGACATTGGCAGCCTATGCAATCAGGGAGACGGCAGGGACAAGATGAATAGCCTCAAGAACTTTGGCTTCTATTTTGAGACAATAAGTTTTTATGGTTTTGAGTAGAACAGTGATAGGAATTGATTTAGGTTCAAGGGGCTCATTCTGGCTACTGTGTTGCAAATAAGGTGGCAAGGATAGAAATAGAGAACACTTACGCAAAAGTCTAGAGCAAAGATGGTGACTTAGACCAGGGTTGTAGCATTTATATTTGATATGCCATTTAAATATCCAAGGGAACATGAGTAGGCATGGGATGTGTAACCGAAGTCTAGAGTTGAAAGAAGAGGTCTAAGCTAGAGATAGAGATTTCGAAAACATCAGTATTTAACCTTGACAGTGGATGAGATTTTCTAGGAAGTGAGGAGAGCATTAAGAGACAAGTTTTTAAGGATGGAGCCCTGAGTCATTACAGATTGACAGATCAGAAAGAGGATGATGACCAGCAAGGAGACCAAAAAGGCCAGTGTGGTTAAGTGGGAAACCAAGAGGGTGTGGTGTCCCCAAAGCCAACTGAAAAAAAAGTATGTCACGAAGGAGGAAGTGATCAACTGTATCATGTACTGCTGATAGATCAAGTAAGAATAGAACTGAGTAGAAAAATGGATTTGGCAACCAAGGGGCCATGGATGACCCAGACAAGTGCATTCTGAGAAGCGGTGGGGATGAAAGTGGGATGGAGAGAACATGTGCAGGCAACTCCTCTGATGTTCTTTGCTGTAAATGGGAAGCAGAGAAACGTGGGAGCTGGAATGAATTATGCAGGCTTCTTTCTTTTTTTCTTTTCCCTTCCTTCCTTCCTGCTTTCCTTTTTTCCTTCCTTCCTGCTTGCCTTTCTCCCTTCTTTTCTTTCTTCCTTCCTTTATCTTTCTTTCTTTTCTCCCTCTCTTACTCTCTTTATTTCTTTTCTTTATCTCTTTCTCTTTCTTTCCATTTCTCTCTTTCCTTCCTTTGTTCTTTTTCTCTCTCCTTTCGTTCTTTCATCTCTTTAGTTTAGAGACACTACAGCATCTTCATATCCTCTCAGAATTGTCTAGTAGGGAGAGGAACCCAAATGATGCAGGAGAGAACAGATAATTGCGGAAGCCAAGTGTTTTTGTAGGCATGTGTTGAGGTTCACGGCACCATGAAGGCCGAGGGTGGAAGCAGAACAGTTCAGAGAGCACATGGTCTAGGAGCAGGTAGGCTAGTGAGAGCATGTGGAGGTTTCCTCCTGACTGAGCTTTGCTCAGTAAAACAGGAAGTAAGGGCATACACATAGCAGGACCAGCAGAGAGAAGCTATTGGAGATCTGAGAAAAGGGTGGGAAATAGTCATCCAGGGCAAGTGGGTGGAGTAGGGTCCTGCAGTAGGATTGCTGAGCAGTGTGTTGGGCTTTAAACTGCCTTTCATATGAATCCACAAATCCTACTAATATTAATGAAAGATATTAATTTTCATTTTTCCTGCTCCCGTCAGCTTAAAACGAAAAGTTTCTCTACTTAGCCCATGAGGAGTCAGAAAAGAAAAAGTAATGCCCAGCAAATTTCTCCTTCCTAAGCTAGAAAGGAAAAAATAAGATATTCATGTAAGGAAAATAAAGAAGACATGGCAACTTGAAATTATGAAGAAATTCCAAATGTTGCATTTGGTAGTGTTCTTAAGCTACCATAAGAGATCTTCATTCTATTCTGGGTAGGGAGAATGTACGTGGCAGTTGCTAGGAATGATCCTTTGCCCGTGATCCTTCCCATGTGGTACCCCACTGTCCCCAATAGACCTGAGTGGCACAACCAACAAAACAACATTCAAATATATGGAAATGATCTTTATTTTAGACTCTTTCTCATTTAGCCTGTTGGGCTCCGAGAATGTGAAAAATAAATCTGAAGCCTTACTTTTAATAGCTTTCTTATAAATTATCCCCAGTATGTAAAAGCCCAGCTCCTAGATATAACCAGAAGAAGGGGGAGGGGGGAAAGACTAATGACCTTTGACATTAAAATTTAAAATGTCCTGCATGCAAATACACTTTCCTGCCACTCTTTTGTAATGCAATAACCAGCAAGAATTAGAATTGCAAAAATTCCAAAAGAGCTACATGGAAATTATACAACAAAGTGGTTTCACAGTGATATTGAGAAAGGAATATGAAATGAATACAAGATAACATAGAGACAGAATGGGGTGTTACAGATGTATGAGTGAACGTGCGTATGAGCACATGCATGTCTCAGAGAGAGCAACAGATAAAAAATTATTTCTTTTTTTATGTTGCTCTTCATGAGCAAAATTTTAAGACAGACACTGTTCTGGTCACATTTCAATAATGTGACACATGGTTTCTATTTACATTCCAAATGAGTTTTCACTAAATGACTTTCGAAATATTTACTTGCAAGTATAAAGGAGACCCTTTGAATGTCTGATTTGAAAAAAGAACAAAATCAAGCAATTATCAACATAGATGTTCTAATACAAACTGACACTATTTTCTTCCATGTCTTTTTTTTTTTTTTTTTTCATTCCTAGACACCACAAAAGACCAATGCTACAGATGTCTCTCTTTCGGCTTTAAATACTTCAACTGTGACAATGATAGTGAGACAGACTGCTTCAGGCCCTGTAGCTAGGACATAATAAATAATTCAAACAAGTTTTGAAAAATCATTTGGCCCATATAATATACCAGCTATCCGAACATTTACCAATGCCCGCCCCCTCCCCTCACACCTCATCCTTATTTTCATTTTTTGCTGCTTCCATCAGCTTAAAATGAAAAGTTTCTCTACTTAGCCCATCAGGAGTCAGAAAAGAAAAAGTAATGCCCAGCAAATTTATCCTTCCTTTGCTACCGGCTTCCATTAAATTGAAGGTGACTTCACATTGATCCTGGGTTCAATTCACATATCCAAAGAGACCTCAGTGATTAACATAAAGGGCAGTCCAATCAAGGATAGACACCTCCATGTGTGTATGGTGAGCAATTTGGTGGGATGTAAAACATAAATGATGTAGCATCAGAACACCTGGTGTGGATGATGCCACCACTTGCCTACCCAGTTATTCTCCACTTCTTGCCCTGAGTTTTTCTTTCTCTCTCTCTCTTTTTTAACTTAGATAAAAAATAATCAGCTTCTTAACCTCCCTTGCATCTAGGAGTCATCAAAAAGATATCGGTTGATCAATAAGATCAATAAGAATTTGATAGGCAGGGCTTCCAAAAAAGTCTGTTGAAAAGGGAAGACTCAGATAACACAGTTTGTTAGTGTTTGCCTTTTGCCCAAGATCCTTCCCTCTTTCTTCTGCCTGTGATGCCCAGGGATGGAGTAGTCAGTTTGTAGCCTATGAGGACAAAAGTCCCATGGCAAGGCATAACCATGCAGAAAGATAGAAGGAACTGTGTCCCGCTGGCACTTTGAACTTCTTGAGGCATCTTGGGGAAAATAAGCCCCTCCTTGGTCTAGCAGTATGTGACAGTTAATTTCAGGTGTCAATTTGGCTAGGCCATGGTATCCAGATACTTGTTCAAACATATCTGGATGTCACTGTGAAGGTAATTTTTAGATGAGATTCATCATTAAATCAGTAGACTTTGAGTAAAACAGATTACCCTCCATAATGTGAGTGGGCCTCATTCAATTAGTTGACAATTAGTTGACAGTCTTAGAAAAAGAGTAGCATCCCCCAGGGAAGAGGGAATTTTGCCAGCAGTCTGCTTTTGGACTTGAGTGGCAATATCAACTGTTCCTTGGGTATTTATTGTGTTGGCCTAACCTGCAGATTTTGGACTGAGATCTCAGCCTTCATAATCATGTGAGTGAACGGCTTAAAATCGATCATCTCTGTCTCTCTCTGGAGAACCCTGACTGCTACACCATTACACCATTCTAACTGGGTTTCTGTTCACTGAAACTGAATGCAATTCTCTCTGACACATCTGAGATCACCACTTCATACACTGTGTAACTGTGTAGGTGTCTGTGACCCTCAGCTTCCAGATCTACAAAATGGGAATATGAGTACTCCTGACTCCACAGGCTTGTTGGCTTACACACGAGACAGAATGTGTAAAAGTGCTGTGCTGTGTTAAGTTACAAAGCCCAATCGAAATGATAGGGATCATTATCATGGTGGGCTCACTGTCAATTCACGACTGTAAGTCTGTTATGATTGTATTCACTTAAAATAATAATATTCTTCAAATCTGACCATAAAAAGTCATTATAGAACATTTGAAAGTTCAAAAACGCATGAGGAAGAAAACACTCAACCACCTCCATCATTCCATAGCTACTGTCATCTACCAATACCTAGCATTTATTGAGTTATTATATAGCAGGCAATGTGTGAAGCAATTCAATGCATTATCTCTACCCTGTGAAGGTAGGTACTATTTTGGTGCCCATTTGGCATATGGGTGAAAACTTGTCACCGGACATATAGCTAGTAAGTGGCAAATCCAGGATTCAAACCCAGGTCTGAATTATTCTAAAGCCCATGTATGTATCCAGCAACACATGGCGATGAGCTGTGTTCTTTAATAATGTATTGGCTACTACAAAATTGGAGTGTGATCAGGTAACCCTTACATCAGGAAAAATGGGGTATGCACATTGCTCAGCATATACACAAATCAAGACTCATATTACAAGGCTGCTAGCTCTCTTGTCAGGGATAACATTTTAATTTGAAATGAAGTGGAAGAATGTTTCATATCAGCTACTCCGGTTAACACTGCTTTTTACTTCAGATAAAGATATCCCTTCTGTCAGGCACCCTGAAGTTTTTCTGTAAAAAGTTGTGTTCATTTGTTTCAAACTGCCCATACATCCATGGTCTCATTTCATTTTCCCTATAGCCCGCTGAGTTAAGAGGGGCAGGTATTATTAACTCCATTTCACAGGTGAAAGAACTGAGCCCTAGAGAGGTTAACTAAGTTGCTTAAGGTCACACAGCAAATTAGTGGTACGACGGGGATTGGAAAGCCTAACGCCTGACATCCAGCGTGGTATGTTTTCCATCATGTAGTGCTCCATCACCTGTCACTCCCACCATTCCTGAGGGGCTTGGAGTTGATGGGGCATGCTATCAATTTCTCAGGGTAAAACTGTCCTATCTGGGTAGGAAAATGCACACACACACACACACACATATACTAGACACACTGTAATTGCATCTGCCAAAATGGTTTTATAACAATCCAGTCAAGGATACAGAAAACTCCCAGGCTGCCTTTCAGAAACAAAGCCCAAAGGATCAATTTCATCATGAAATAGGATTTCCTCAGCTGTAGGTGGATGGGTAGGTGGGGAGGTGGATGAACTGCATTAACAATGGAACAGTGGACTGCAGGGTAAAAGCTCATTTGACATTCACTGCTATTAAGCAGTGGCAATGTAAACCTGGGGTAGCAAAGAGCAATACCCAGGAAAAAATACGAAGAAAAGTTTCAACTTAACCCTTCTGTAACTTTCTATTTATAAGTCTCAGGGTATTAAGTCTCATTCTTTAGAAATAACAAATGCATATTTTGACTCACTCTGTAAGATATTTATAAGAAATAAAGAGCAAGGGGGTATTGATTAAGAAAAAACTAGGATGAGATTATAGATATATTAATATGTGTTAATATACAACATATAATTACATATAATTAATATATAATAAATGTACAAATATATAATGTTATATAAATGACATGTCAATATATGAATATATATATTTCAAGATCATATTCTTAACCTGAAACCAAAAAAAGTACAAATAGAGGTAACATATTGCATTGTCTATTTAGCATTGAAACCAGGATTTTCAGATAGAAACATTTGCCTTTCCTAAGCTACGCAAGCCATCAGATATTTACCTCAGTGGCACTGGTCTCAGTGAAACATCTTAATGTCTCTTCTCTCAGTTGGTTAGATGAATGGATGTCATAAGGTAAAAAGAGGAACTGCAAGATTTGAAGCTCATAGAAAAAAGACTGGCACTGGGAATGGCAGTTACCGGGAGATTGAAACAAGAAGGCTTCTAAATATGCTGTCAAAACCAGCACCAGTGACCTCTCATCAAGTGAGGGGCAGCACTAAAAGCTATACCTTCTAGAATGATGTTACCTTGAAAATCATGAGGAAATCTCAAGTGTCTTTCTACTACATTAGCAAAAGGAAGTTTAGGGAGTTTAGACACCAAGAGACTGGACCTTCTCAAAAGGGAATTTGCCACAGAATCATAGATGTTCAAAATGTGAACCAAGCTTTCTTTCAAATAAAAGTGAATATCAGGGCTTAAAACAGAAAGACACATTTCATCAAAAATGATTAGGGGCCCACGAGTGTTGACTGGGGAATGAGAATAGTGGGTAAGGTTAGGGGGAAAGCCAGAAAAAAAGGTGAATCAAATATACTTACACTAAAAATCCTGGGGCTCCATGTGATCCAGTCACGGTACCTTGTCACAGAGAGAAATGTAATCAGGGATCCAGGAAGTTCTTTACAGGTTTACTTGGTGTGATGCTTAATATTAGGTGTCGACTAGATTGGATTGAAGGATGCCTAGATGGCTGGTGGAGTATTGTTTCTGGGTGTGTCTGTGAGGGTGTTGCCAGAAGAGACTGACATTTGAGTCAGTGGACTGGAGAGAAAGATCCACCTTCAGTGTGGGTGGGTACCATCCGATCGGCTGCCAGTGCAGCTAGACCAAATGCAGGTGGAAGAAGGTGCGATAAGCTGGCTTGCTGTGTCTTCTGGCTGCCTTCTTTCTCCCATGCTGGATGCCTCCTCCCATCCCTCCTGCCCTTGGACATCAGATTCCAGGTTCTTCAGCCTTTGGAACTCAGGAACTTGCAACAGTGGCTCAGACTTTGGCCACAGTCTGAAGCCTGCACTGTCAGCTTTTCTGGTTTGAGCCTTTCAGACTGAGCCACTACCAGCTTCTCTCTCTCTCAATTTGCAGACAGCCTATCCTGGGACTTTGCCTTGTAATGGTGTGAGCCAACTCTTCCTAATATATTCCCTTATATATATACATACATATATCCTACTTGTTCTGTCCCTCTGGAGAACCCTGACTAATATACTTGGACACATGAAAAATTATTAAGAAGAGATGTCTATTCTTAATGCATTAAGAATACTGTAAAATTATTCTCTCCTCATTGCTGCCTTTCTGAAAATTCTTCATGTGGTTGGCAGCTGACTCAGGAGCACTCTCTTTCCTGGCACTTATCCAATGGCTCTAACACCCAATCTGGGCAGCCTGTCCGGCTTACTGTCTCCATCTCTCCACTCTTGCTTATGTACTTCAACACAGACTCTTTATTTCTTTACTTTTATTTCTGTTTTCTTTACTTTAGGGAGGACCTGGGAGTTTACCAGGAAGCTCAAATTCTTCCTGTATAGAAGCTAGGAAAATAGTGAAGATTGTGACTATCCATACTCGAATAATTTTATCCTATAACATCTCAACAGATTTTGTCTCTAAGAATTCTATTGTCTCAAATAAACCCAGAAGTTAGCACTTTAACATGGGAGCCTTTTCAAATGGTAGAGTCTCAAGGCCACATCTGACTCCAGAGATCATGGTGTTCCTACAACACTGAGATGATGATAGGAACTACAGTTGAAAACAGATCTTTCTCCCCACATCACCTTGATCAAGTCAATAAATGTTAGTATATGCCAGGTACTGGGCTAGGTAGTAGGAACACAGAGATAAGCAAGACAAGATCCTTATCCCTGAAGAAGTCACAGTTCAGTGTAGTATTTCTAAAATTGCATTCCTTAGAATGAAAGTGACCCTTGTAAAAATAATCCATGGACCAAATACCTTTTGGAATGTGGCATGCTCAATCTCCTTTTGGACATTTTTCATGCTCATCCTAATGCGAAATGATTATATAAACTTCAGTTCTTTACTCCAGCATTTCCCACATTTAACTCATCGCTGACCCATTTGGCTTGCAAAACTTACGTCTTGAATTGAGCCTACAAATGTTAACAGAAATTCTACCATTAGCTTAAAAAACAGACAAATAACAGGCATTTTAAAGATAAAATAAGAAATAATGATAGCATTTTAATATAAAGTAAATAGTATTTCAACCAAAAGGCAAGTGAATCTGTATGTTGTCTTAATGGAGATTATATTTGTTTGCTCACTACAGTTTATAAGAACAGAGAGGATGATAAAGACACCACAATGATGACCATGCACAGAGTGTTTCTATCAGCAAGCCTATATTGTGGGTCTTTACTCACAATATTTTATTTAATTCTTACATCCCTTCTATGAAGTAGGAACTTATATTTCCCATTTTCCTCCATAAAGAAATCAAGGTTCAGAGAATTTGTTAATTTGTCTGCTACGATCATGTGCCTGGTAAGTGATGGAAGTGAGATTCTAATCCAGACTATTTACTCTGAAAACCTAGTGGCTCCCAATTCTAGTTATATATCCCAGAGAATCTACTGTTAACTGATTTAAAATGTCCATTAGCAGAGAAACAGATTAACAAAATTCGGTGTCTTCACATGATAGATGATCAGATGGCTATCAGACTATCTGTGGCTTCTGAACAGAAATAAGAAAGAGGCTTTGGCAAGCTCTAGATTAGAATCAAAGAAAGGCTTTCCCTCTTGTTAAGCAACTCTTGTTCTATTGCGCCCCAACAAGAGACAGAATGTTTCAAGATAGGACACCAGGTGACTGTGTGGCCTGAGCTGCCCAACCTGAATTGGGTGTTGTTTTATCCACTGTCTATTACATTGGGTGCACTCAGCAGCAGCTGTCTGTATCAAATGAAAGTAGATTACACGGGATTGTACTATTAGGCTTACTCTGGCTATCCCTGTTTTAACCCAAACCTAAGACTTCATGGGGCATTTTTTATGTAGTTACCTGAAGAAGGAAAAAAATAAAGCCTACTTTACAGACAACATTGCACGATAAGCTAGCTCCAGCCTGAAGTGGACCCTGAATATTATAACCCCACTCAAGGTGAGTAGCCCTAAAGGACATTGAAGAAGAAAAATCCCATCAGTGGGCAAAACTTCAAATAATTACCTCTTGTGGTCAACACTGCCTGGAAAAATAGTTGGCCTGAGGTATTGTTCCACGTTAATTCATGGGCTCATGAATGAGGCATTAGGAAGAAAAAGAGGGGAAGACTGAAAGGGAAGGGAACAAATACACAGTAAGGCTTCTCAAACTTTTACCAGAGTGTGAAAATATCTGTCTATGTGAATGTAGACTAGAAGGTCCCCACTGTGGAGAAGGCACTCAGTAGCTAGGTAGGCAAGGCCTCTTTCCCTGCCAACTCAGAGCTTAATCAGCATATTCATAAAAGCTATTTAGTATCTACGGTGGCCAAATACAGAGGTTTGCATGGGCTGACCAATAAGGACTTCACCAGTTCTGGCCACTGCCACTCCCAAATGTACCACTTGCTAGAAACATCAATAAGGAAATCTGTTGGAGAGTTAGTTTTTTGATTCAGTGAATACCAATGTGCTCTCCCACATTTCCTCTACCTTTTGTGGTAAGGTGGGGCCATGTGACTAGTGCAGGCCAACGGGCTACGAGGAAACAGAAACCTGTCATGCCTGTGAGGGGCCCTGGCAAGGCATACCGCCTGACCTGCACACCAAGTGATGAGGTCAGAGAATGCCAGATTGCTCTGCATTCTCTGTATAGAGGAAAATTGCCCCGCAAACTGCCTGATTAATATACCAATCCTGAATCAAAGATACAGAAAAATACCCTGACTGGACCCTCCAGCCACCTGGGGGCATGCTGTTTGTATGGACCCCATCTATCATAGAGGAGATGAAAATGTATACTTCTTGGAAAAGACATATACTCAATAAGAATTATTTCCCTGTTTGCCAGGCTTCTGTGAACAACCTCAAATGTTTTATTCACCTTGATGGTCTCCCACAGAACCTTCTTGACTAAGAAACTCATTTTATATGTACATATATTTATATGTACATATATTAAAAAGTAAAGCAATTTAGTTGGTGCTCATGGGATTCCATAGTCTCACCTAGTACCCCATCCTCAACAGTGGAATGGCCAGTTAATAACTTGGCTGTGGTTCCAGTTAAAAGACAACACCCTGAAAAGCTAAAGGACTATCCTACAGGCTGCAGAATGTTCTCTTAACTAGTGATTAATTATAGTGCTATTTTCCCATACCAAGAATATATATGTCCAGGGGTCAAAGGGGAGAGGGGAGAGCAGTGCCTTTCACCATTACACAGAACAAATCACTCATTTTGCTTTCCTTACCAGGAAATTTGAGGTCTGCTGTTGTAGAGGTCTTACAACTCAAGTGAAAAATGCTTCCAACAATAGATATGATAAAAGAAAAACTTCAGCCGAGTTAAATTTAAAGGACTTTAATTGAGCAATGAATGATTCACGAATCGGGCAGCCCCCAGAATCACAGCAGATTCACAGACTCCAGGGGTGCCTCATGGTCAGAACAAATTTATAGACAAAAAAGGTAAAGTGACGTACAGGAATCAGAAGTCGGGTATAGAAACAGTGAGATTGGTTACAGCTCAGTGTTTGCCTTGTGTGAACGCAGTTTGAACATTCAGCAGTCTATGTGTGGTTGAAGTATGGCCGCTGGGATTGGCCAACACTCAGCTATTGTTACAGGTGCATACTATTAACTTAGGTTTTCAATTTTGTCTGTTAAGCTAGGTTACAGTTCATCCACAAAGACTCAAATATAGAAGTATGGCCTTTTCAGGCCATATTTAGTTTGCTTTAGCAGATGCAAGAGTGTTTCTATGAAATTGGAAGCTGAAACTGTCCAGTGGACATTTTGGACACCTCACACCCCACTCAAACTGAGTAAAAAGGGAGTTATTGTGTTGGGAGGGGTCATTAGTCTTGATTATCAGTTGGGAAATGAAGTTCCTGCTCAGCAATGGAGGCCATGAAGAGAATACCTACCATGCAGGTAAATCCTCTGGAGTATTCCTGCTACTGCCGTGTGCCATGGTAAAGGGTTAGACTCCAGCAACCCCAAATGAGCAGAAGCATTGAGGGTTTCCTGGATAGAATTACTGATGGACTGTTTGTTCAAGGGTAAGTTAGAGTATGTTAAGTCAGAGCAAGGTATTATAACTTGAAAGTTGAAACATGGAGAAAAAAAAAAAGGAGTATTATTGATATTTGGTACCAAGAAAGGGATCAGAGCGAAATTTGTCTCGCGTGGCTGCCCAATATCCTCTGGATATTCTTGCTCATAATAATGTTTGCTCCACATCATGAATTCTTCCTTTTCAAAGGGAATTTCAGAAAACTCATATCCTTTGCAGCTAAGGAGCAGGCATGCGGTCTGCCCTCCTCTTCTCAGGCCACACAAGACTTCACTGTGGAAGTGAGCAATGAGGAAAAACAGGCTATGTGTGGACATTCATTTTTCCAGTATAGGCAGTGAGAAAGGTATCCAGATTTGGGGATGTTAGGATAAATTGCAATAAAATTAAATCCTTCGTATCCTAGATGTTACAGTCAGGAAAACATTGTGGTATCCAGTAAGTAGATGGTGACAATTGCCTCATAAGCCCAGTTCTAAGAAAATGTTCTGCAGTCAACAGCATGTCAATGGCTGTTTTCTGACCAGACCAGTTCTGCAACATAGTTTTGGACATTGTTCCCAAAAGCTTAGCCTCAAGCTTATTTCTCTGGGTCTACAATGATTCTTCCAAATGCCCCATATCCTTTAATAAATTCCTTCTCTATTTAAATTAGAGCCCATTCTATTGTTTGCAACTAATGCTCCTGACCATATTTTCCTTCTCCCACTTTCAATACCCAGGCAAAGATTGTTTTAATCATTCACAACCTAACAGTTCTCTCTCAGGAAAGTCTAATCTAGCAATATTTTTTTCTGTGGAATCTGCAACCTACTCCTTTACCTTTAAGCCATAAGCAGTGAATGAAACTGACTCCTATTTCCAGAATCCCACCTGCATTCCTTTTCCAACTCAATCTTCTTTCTTAGCCTAAGGCTAGCCTATTTATTGTATGAAATATTCTTTTCTGTCAGTGAACATGGCAACATCTTTGGCTAAGTCAAAAGCCTAACTCTTCATCTAGCTTTCAACTTGGAAGCACATCCCTGGACACACCTATGCTTTGAAAGTAATATTTATCTCTCTCTCTCTCTATCCCACTGTTCAACAATCATTTTGTCTGCTTTTTTTGAGTTACACTTTGCATATCAATACTCTTTCTGAAAACTCCTCCAAAGTGTTAAATATCTGGCATAGTCATTTCAAAACAGGAACGGAGTGGTCTGCATGTTAAAGAAGGCAAGAATGCCAGAAATTGTCCCATTTCCCATGTTGATCAGTGACTGTGTAACTCAGACACGTTGCAGAGGCCTACATGGCCTACTTCCTGAGAGGGGGGTCTCACTGCCTTGTCAGGATTCCAGTTTAAGAGCACAGGGCAAGTGAGACCACTGAATACAGTCATTTAAAAAGTGCTACAGGAAAGTATTTAAATAGTCATCTTATAGAAGGGGGTGAAAAAGCACATTTATTGATGCAGTAATTAAAAAAAGATTTAGATCCAGTGTGTCAATTCCCATAGAATCCCACTTAGCCCCCTTATCTATGTCAAAGCAAACTTAGTTTCACATCAGCAGTGCTTCTCATTTATCTTAATGCTAAGGATTTATTTCTTATGCAAAATTGTTCATTTTCACCAGCCTGGAACTTTAAAAAAATTCACATTCTCTTCTTCAAGAATTTTTATTAAGCCAAGATGTCATCAAGCTGAAAATCTCAGACACAATTTTGGCTCTCTTCTGCAGGAAACTCAGAGGAGTGCCCAATCCAGGCAACAGCAGATTAGCACTGGCACTGCTGACAGGTTCTTAAAAGTGTTGGAAAGAGAAGAACAAAGGTGGTGTACAATGATTGACAAAGATTTCTGCTATAAACTAAAGTTGAACCAATAAATATGTCTAGACTCTGCCATGACTATCTGTGGCCTGGAAGCTGCATTCTTCAGAAGAAAAAAAAAAAGTTGCAGTTGGAATTTGGAATGGTTTTGCCCCCATGATGTGCACACAGGACTTTGATGAGTAGTCTGATATGCAGAAGCATCCAGATTATCACTGAGATAGAAATGAAACATCCAGATGATAGATTAAGTAGATTGTTCACTTCTCATCTATATATATATATATATATATATATATATATATATATATATTTGACATCATAGAGGCATAATCAAAATCTGAGTAGGTAAAGTCACTAACCAGAATACGAATACCAAGTTACCTGTGTGGTTTCATGGAAAAATAATAGGGGAATTGACATCATCTTTATAAATGTTGTATCAATGAGAAAATTATGACAGTCGGGGAGATCTGATCTAGCCCATCTGCCTCCTGTCTTTAGCATTCAAGCTGCCAAGCTAGCTTTGGGAGACATTTACTTTACAGTTTAAATGATAATAACCCTTCCCCCCAACTCAACTGCCTTTGTAAAGCTAATGAGGGACCAACTGAGGGAAGGAGAGATGCCTGGATGCTGCTAAGGTACAGACATGAACAATTGCCAGCCATTATTCCAGAGATCACAAGATTTGCAACTTCCCTAATTACTCCTGCAGGCAACATCACTATTGTAGATTGGCCTTTTGAGATACTGTTTCAGGTTTTTTGCATGTCTGGCACCCATGGCTCTACTTGGACCCACCAACTGATGGTTCCTCTGGCCAGAAGCAACTCAGTGTAAGAGGACAGCTTCAACTCCCTATGATTAAATCTCCAACCCAGCCAATCGGCAGCAAACACCCATTGCATAGCCATCCCTACGCCTTCGCCCAAACTACCTTTGAAAAGCCCCTAACCTACAAGCCTTCTATGAGATTGATTTGAATAATAACTCCATCTCCGGCATGGTGTGGCTAGCCTTCTGTCAACTAAACTCTTTCTTTACTGCAATTCCATGGTCTCTGTTTGTGTAGCAGGCAGGAAGAACCCACTGGGTGGTCACAGAATTTCAAGGCTGCAAAGAGTCAGACTTTACTCAAATATTCTAGGCAAAAAAAATAGAATTTAAGGGTTACGATCTGCACAATCATGGTCAAAATCAAAGACACATCGAAACAGTTAAAACGCAACAGTTATCCCAAGGTCAAAACCAAGAATATTTATTTATTAGTGTACCCTGTAGCTCTGTACCCAATTAAGCCCAAACATCTCCCTAGACTTCATCTCCATAATCATATGGGTATCTGATACCCGTCAATGCAATTTTCTTGATCACTAATGAAACATTCCTTGTTCATTGCATTAGTCTTTATAATCACAATATTAAATCATTTTCCCTGGTGTTTTCCCCTAGCAACAATTTATGAGCCATTACAGAATTTCTGTTTTTTTTCTATGTCTTCTCTCTTCTCATAAGTTAAACCATTCCAGTATCTTGCAAATGACCAGACAACTACTTTAAGACTTTGGTTGTAACTAGAGCTTCCTACCAAGCTATGTAATTAAGCCACAGTATCTTTGCTCTTCTAGCTTACAAGATAATCATCTGATTCCCTTTTGTTAAACTATTTGCCCTTTGGCCTTATAGTTTATTCACTTGGGAACTAGATTACAGTTTCCCAGACTATATAGCTACAGAGAAATTATTGTGACTTATTATAAGTTTAATTCATGCCAAACAATACCAGTCTGATTTCTGGCTTAATACCACCTTCTTTCATAAAGCTGGACCATCATTTTGCCTTTAATCATCTTCTTGATTAGTATTTTTCCAAGTGTTTCTCAACTCATTTCTTCTATAGAATTAAAACATTCCTACTGGATGGGCTACTCATTTTAAGGATTTAAAATTTTCAGTCTGGATTTGGGGTTACACCTTTGATGGATGAGCTTAAGGAAGATACGAAAATGGCAAAATTATCTTCATGATGACATCATAATGGATAGAACAAAGTAAATTTTATAAAATGGTTTCACATGCCTTATTCCATTTGATACTTAACAGACTTGAGAACTGGACAGAGTAGATATAGTAGTTCCCTCTTGTGCACAGGGAATATGTTCCAAGAATCCCAGTGGATGCCTGAAATCCTGTATAGTCCTAAACCCTATACATACTGTTTTTTCCCTATATATACATATTTATGATAAAATTTAATTAATTTATTCTTTTTGAGATGGAGTTCCATTCTTGTTGCCCAGGCTGGGGTGCAATGGTGTGATCTCAGCTCACTGCAACCTCTGCCTCTCGCGTTCATGCAATTGTCCTGCCTCAGCCTCCCGAGTAGTTGGGATTACAGGCACCTGCCACCACGCCTGGCTAATTTTTGTATTTTTAGTAGAGATGGGGTTTCACCATGTTGACCAGGCTGGTCTCGAACTCCTGACCTCAAGTGATCTGCCCACCTTGACCTCCCAAAGAGTGGGATTACAGGCATGAGCCACTGTGCTTGGCCAAAATTTAATTTATAAATTAGGCACAGTTAGAGATGAACAACAATAACTAATAATAAAGTAGATGCCAGCATCACTACTTTTGTGCTTTGGAATCATTAGTAAGTAAAATAAGGGTTCCTTGAATATAAGCACTGTGATACTGCAACAGTGGATCTGATCACAGAGCTAGCTATAATGTCACTAACGGGCAAGCAGCACAGACATCACAGATACATGGGATGATTCATACACTGGGAAGGGCAGAGCAGGGCAGCTCAGATTTCACTGTGCTGCTCAAAATGGCATGCATTTTAAAACTTACAAATTGCTTATTTCTGGAATTTTCCATTTAACATTTTTAGATCGAGTTGACCACAGGTAACTAAAACTTTGAAACAGCAGATAATGGGGAACTACTGTATTACTATGCCCATCTTTATAAAGCAGTGGTTTCCAAACTGTGTTAATGCAGACCAAATTCATGACATTGTTTCAACCAGTGCAGCTCCTTTCATATTAGTTTTTTAAAAAAACACATCTAAGTAAGATCACCATTTGAAATGAATAGAGTGTATGTTGGCTTTTAAATAAGGAATGTTTAAATGCCCCTGATAGAGGAAGAAACCAAAGCTCAGTACAAATGGTAAACTCACATCTCCACCTGTAAACACCAGGTAAAAATTGAAGGAGCAGGGACAACCACCCAAGTCTCCAGCCTGTGAGACAGCCAGGTGAGGAGGGGTCCCCAGAAGACCTCCAACTGGCCTGTGCACCGGGGTGGAGCCTCGGGAATTTCATCATGTTTGCAGCGGGGAGGAGCCTGGCCCTTCCTTTTCCTGTGTGGAACCTGGGATTCAAGCTGTGGGCGGGAAGTGCTCTATCAGGGACTCAAGCCTTGGGAGACTCCCTCTTTCCCCTTTACTTCTTTTTCACCCAATAAAACCCTGCTCACCCTCTCCATCGGTCTGTGAACCTAAATTTTCGTGGCTGTGGGACGGACAAGTACCCTGTCTTTAACTGAACTATGGAAAAGTCCTGCAATATTTTTGGCGCCCAACGTGGGGACTCGAGAAGGGGTAAGTGAGATGCAAACCAATAATTCTTTTTCCCTCTCCCTTCTGAGTCTTCTCATCCCCGTGGCCTTTTCCTTCCTTTTTTGGGATGGACCGGCGAGCAGCAGCTGCCCACTGCTCCTCACTCCATGCCGGGGCTGGGACACATGGCCTAAGTGTCCTGCACAGCCTGCTGGCTGGTTCCCCGTCACTCCTGGCTGTCCCAGCCTTCCCCTTCCCTGGCCAAGGGATGTAACTCTATCAGACAGTAATTAAGCTTAAATTTGTCTCCCTGGTGGAGGAACCACTTGCAAAGAAATATGAGGTTCTTCCTCAGGCACTTTTAAACTGTTTCTTTTCTTTCCCCTTCTCTACCCCATCAGCAAGTTAACTTAAATTTTTTTTTCTTTTAGAAGATGTTGTACTAGGCTAGCCTCCACCCACCCCCAACAACTGTCAGTGTATTCTCTGCAAAGTTTCGGTTGTGAAATCAAGCCTCCATCTTGTTTTATATCCTGAGGGCATGGCTGGTAATTGTGGCAAGGATTTGTTTAGCAAAGCCTTGAGAGGATGAACCCTGTAAGATTCAATGTCTGCATGTTTTCCTAGCCCTTTCTCTTAAAGGGCCCCACCCAGCAACTGGGTTTTCTTCTGCCTGCCTGTGTGTGTACTGTACGTAATGTTTGTCAAGAGAACTCTAATTAATACAGCCTAAAGAAAGACAAGTGCTTGAATCTAATATTTTTTAAAGGGAAGATAAAGTCTGGTACCTTTCAGTTCACATGACTTTAATCTTTAAGAAATAGAAACAGTCTTAAAAACTATTGGTCAAATGCAGGTATTATCAAAATGTAAATAGGTAGGCTAAATAATGCAGGTCAGATGCAAGGTTTGCTAAGTGTTTTGAGGTTACAAACTGCTTTTTGGGTTTTCAGAACTATATTGACTTGCCAGCTTCACAACTGGTAAGGCCTGGGGACACACGGAACTAACCGCACCCTTAACTAAGAAGGCAAACCTTGGCTGCAGTTAGCACACAATTAAAGCAACTTAACAAGTTTTAGTTTACAGTTAAAAATTGCTAGGAGTTAATTGAATCCACTAGAAATAGATTTACATGCAAGGTGTATGAGAACAGTAAAATGTGTTTTTCAGTAAAAGGTTATAAGAAGTCATGGAAATGTAAACTTTTGCCTAGGGTTAAGGATTGTTTTGAGTTACATTAGGAAAAAGCTGAAGGTTCCAAGAAGTGGTGGAAGAATTGTGGAAATTAATCTTGCAGAAGAGGTTCTCTGTGTGAACATACTGACTACATTCAACCAAGGGTATTATATGGTTTTTCTGTAAATTGAGCGTTGAAGTAAAAGCATAACGAGGTTTTCCTAAGGTGCTAATCTTAATCTGCTCTTTGGCAAAATTTGTAAAGGGTTATAAAAGGTTTTCGCTTCTTCAAAATTTCTGAGTCATCATTTTGACAAAATAAATAACTTTTGGTAATGTTGACAAAAGGAGTCAAATTCTGTAAAATATTTTTACAGACTTATTGTGAGCCACATATGAGTGACCATGGCCCGTGACACAGCCCTCAGAAGGTCCTGAGAACATGTGCCCAAGGTGGTCAGGGTATAGCTTGGTTTGATATATTTTAGGAAAGCATGAGACTTCAAATATATTTAAGAAATGCATTGGTTTGGTTCAGAAAGGCAGGACAACTCAAAGCGGAGCCTTCCAGGCTATAGGTAAATTTAAACATTTTTCTGGATGACGGTTGAGTTTATCTGAAGACCTGGGATCAATAGAAAGGAAATGTTCAGGTTAAGATAAAGGATTGTGGAGACCAAATTTTATTGTGCAGAGGAAGCTCTCAGATAGCAGACTTAAGAGAGAGCAGGTTATAAAATGCTTCTTATCAGACCTAAAAGGGTGCCTGGCTCTTAGTTGATTATCTCCTGGATCTGGAGAGAAAGGAATGAAAACAAAGGGGGAAGGGGATTCTCTATAAAATGTGGATTTTTCCCACAAGAGACGTTGCAGGGCAACTTCAAGGTATGGCAAGGAAATATATTTTGAGGTAAAACATTTTGATTTTTTTCCTTGTTATGCCACAGTCAGATTGGAAAGTAAGTCACGATATACAGGGTTAAATAAAACCCATCTGATGAAAATTTATGGTTTGTAAGCCATGACTCCCCAGGCTCCTTAGATAGGAATTTGGGCAATATTAAAAAAAAATCAGAGCTTAGTCCTCAGTAATCTGGAATTCCGTTTCATAACATCAAGTGTTTTAAACCTTGAACATTTAACAGCCTTCCCAAAGTCAAACTTCAGTTTCAAAATCGTCTTCCCTGGTACATGGCTTTTCAAATACTTCAGAGGGCCCCCGATGTGTCCAGAACTAAGAGAGGTAAACAGAATTATTTGACATGTTTAGGTACATGGGATTGCCAAAATGATGCTCAATCTTCTTTAGGTTATAGCTGGGTGAATAATGCCAATATATGTTCCAAAATTGTATGGGATTTCTAAAATTCTAATGTCTGAGTATATGCTATCAACCATAATTAAGGTTTTTATGTTAAGTTATAGTAAACCACGGAGATAACTAAACTTCTTTGTCAGTCGTGTTTCTAATTGTAACTACCCTGGAAATTTTGCTATTCACAGACAATTGTTGCTTTAATTCTTTTTCAGAAGATGGTTTATAATAAGCTATAGGACTTTGACAGGTGCTTTCAAATACAGGCTTCTGATAACTTTGGATATTGTGACACTGAAATACAGGAAAATGTACAGGACTCAAAAGCTGAAATGCTCATGATTATCAAGCAAAACAAGAGTTAGCCAAATGGACTGAACTCAGGAAGCTGAAGCAACCTTTTTGACTTTTGCTTGGAATATTGCTAATCCATGTTTCATTTTTCAGAGTCAAGGAAACTTATTTTGAACTATTTACAGCCTTTAACAATTGAGTAAGGTATACTCCTATGAACAAAGTTTGAAGCGTGTTTGTTTCTCTCTGCCTGGTTCCTCTAGAATTTGGAAACTATCTGTGAATATTGTTATGGCAATATAGTTGTTTGCATCAGTGCCAATAAGAATCCATTTTTCTTTTGCAGCAGGACACATTTGGAGAAAGTAGTTATTTTACCAAGGTTTTGACTGGAATGGTATGCTTCCCTTTAAGGAGTCAAGCTCAACTTGCAGAGCCAATAAAAGCCCCATGGGGAAACTGGCCTCATACTGTTGTCTATGCAGTCCCTGTACAGGGTTCCTGACCTGTGGTCAGTAAAGAATGTCACTTTCTAGCAGGTCCAAGAGCTCCAAGTTTATTGTGGGACCTTAAGAGGAGAGGATCACCCAACTCACAGGTATTTGAGGATGCAAACCCATGGCTAGGCTCAGCTTTAAAAGGTCTTATCTGTGATTCCTTGTGGAAAACATTTCCATCAGTGCCAATCCAAAAAGCCTATGTAGAAATAGTTATTCTTGCTGCACTTTATGCAAATAATCAGGCCAAGTGTAAGACTAAAGTCTATTTTGCAAAGCACTCAGTCCTACCATAATTTTTTTAACAAAAATGAGGACTGGAGAGACAGAAATTATGTTCCAAAATTTGCCATACATTTGTCATTAAATGCTAAACTCATTAGTTGTTTTTAAGTTTTCATCTACCTTTTAGACCAACCCTGCTTGCTCCTGTGAACCAAGCAGCAATCTCCAGCTGCAGCTCAGAAAGAACAGGAGGGATGGGTAATGTAGAAATATGGATCAATATTCTAGCTCTGAACAATTATCCTGCAAACCCTGCCAGGTGATGGAATAAATAGGGTGCCCATTACCAGGAGGTTTCCTTTTTGGGAAAGTAAGACCAAGTGAACTAACCAAAGCCAAGCATCACGTATCCAAATCCTGGCAAGCATAACTATAGCTACCAGTTATCTGGGTGTGTCACAAGACATCCTTTTCTCTCTCTTGTTGGAGGAGAACTGGGTTCCACAGCTTCACTTTAGCATTTGTCTTATGATAAGGAGGCCATGCAATGCCCCATCCGAGATACATTTTTGTCCCAGACTGAATTCCAAGCTTCACATCAAAGCCTTAGGAAGGAAAATCGGATCTTAGGGATCCAGAGGCAAATGACAACAGAAGTTAAAAGGCACAGCACAGGTGAGCGTGACTGATTCCTGCTGATTAAGCCAACCCCAAACTTCCTGTTTCATGGATAAAGGCCACGTTAATATCCATGGCATAAATGAGGTCTACGGAACTCCAAGGCTACTGACAGCAGGGGAGATAGGGCATACGTGGGTAAGAGCGGATGATTCCCACCCCTAGGCCCCCCTGCTTCATGGGTGCAAGTTGCTTTAACACCCATGGTGGCACCTACCAAGGTCACTGGAACTTGGGGATGCAAGGATAGAAGATGGAAAGAGGATGCTCTTCCCTCTCTACCTCACATACCTAAGGTATCTGCTGGAAGAAAAGGGAACCAGGTATGCCTGCTCCCCTCTTTCTAGATGGGTAGCCATTCATCTTCAGTCTGTATCCCTTTCAAATGCATCCTGAACCTCTGGGACTCCTTTAAAAGGCACCTTCTTTTTGCCTTTCTTCTCCTCTGTTCTCTCTTCACTAATAGGTAATTGTGTCTCCATACTACAAGGCACTCTCCTCAGATGCATCCTCCAAACTAGAAAGAGTTGGTTTCCCAAACCTTAAACTGGTTAGCTTAGGATTGGGCTCAGGGGAAGGGGACCCAGAAGCCCAACGTGCCAGCAAAAGGGTAAAGTTTTTTTTGCCAGTCAGGCTTTTGGCCTCCCTCTACGTGTGCAAACTGGCAAAAGGCCTCAGGATCTTTGAGCTGTCCTTACCCTCCCTTCATTTCGTTTTGATACATAGTTTCTAATAACCTGGTTTGTCTGTTCTTGCCTTCAGGCCATTAAACTCTAAACAATCATGCAAGCAGAGCCTCTGACAATGGCCCTTTCTGCTGTGAACCCTTAGATGGGCCTCTGCCGTTTCCCCAAAACAGCGCCCCCTCTCAGCAGGAAGCAGTTAAGGTCAGTCTTCATCCTTATCCTTAATCTAAACGGCAGCTGGATGTACCTCTTTAGAGGGAGGAATGAGACAGCTAGGTGGGAGGGGGTCCCCGAAAAACCTCCAGTCAGCCTGTGCACTAGAGTAGAGCCTCAGAAAGTTCACCATGTTTGCACTGGGGAGGAGCCTGGTCCCTCCTTTTCCTGTGTGGAACCTGGAATTCAAGCTGTGGGCAGGAAGTGCTCTATCAGGGACTCTAGCCTTGCAGAGGCTCCCGGTTCCCCCTTTGTCTTCTTTTTCACCCAATAAAACCTTGCTCACCCTCTCCAACAGTCTGCGAGCCTAAATTTTCTTGGCCATGGGACAGACAAGGACCCTCTCTTTAGCTGAACTAAGGAAAAGTCCTGCAACACCTCCAACAACTAACAATTGTTTCCAGTGCACCTCCATTCTCCAGGAGGGAGAAGGCCAAAGCACATAAGTGGAGAATGCACACGTTAGCCCATTTTCAATAGTTTAATACTTTAAAAAATAGTAGTGTTGCTGACTTTCAAGCTTTAGCATCTACACGTGCTAGATTCACTTATTGACTCATTAAACTATTCTTTTACCAATGAGCTTACCATATGCCAAAAACTATGCTATACTGGGAACCCAAAGGCACACAGAAAAACTAGAAGACTATTTCTGCACCAGTCAAGAAGCACACAAATGGACACTCATGAAGAAACTATAGACCCAAAGAAAACCATTGACAATATAGGACAAATGGCATATCAAGTCCTGAGGAAAGAGATTAGTAAGGAGGTTAATATTTTAAAAAAAATAGAAAAGGGAGAAATAATGAATCACTGGAAATGGTCCCATCAACCTGCAGTTCTTCACTATTTTTCAACTTAAAATTGGATACATTTATAGTCACTTGACCTCTCTAGGTCCCAATCTCCCCATGTTCAAAGTACATATCCTATTGCTAGCTCTCTCTACTTTGCTAAGTCTATTGTGAAAATATCACAATATAAAATACTTTGAAGCCTTTTAGGGAAGCTTAAGGTCTTCTACAAATAAAATAACAAGAAGTACCACTTGGCTGAAAAATGAAAGAGGTAGGACACCAATGGTAGTAAATCACTTGTATCACTTTGTTCAGAAATTATTTCATTTTTTTCATTTTATTGAATATAGACAAATTATAGTTGTATATCTTTATGAAGTACAAAGTGATACTATGATATATGTATACAGTCTGGAATGATTAAATCAAGCTAATTAACATAGCCATCACCTCAAATACCTACCATCGATTCTCCTAACTGAATCATTGTACCCTTTGACCAATATCTCCCCATTTCCCCTACTCCCAGCCTCTGGGAACCACCATTCTACTCTCTGCTTCTATGAGTTTGATTGTTTTAGATTCCACTTGTAAGTGAGAACATATGGTATTTGTTTTTCTTTGCTAGCTTAGCTGACTTAGCATAATGTCTGCTTGGTCCACCCATGTGGTCAAAAATGGCAAAATTTCCTCATTTTTAAGGCTGAAGAATATTTCATTGTGTGTGTGTGTGTGTGTATATATATATATATATCACATTTTCTTTATCCATTTCATCTCACACCTATTAAAATGGCAATAATAAAAAGATGAAAGACAAGTCTTGGCAAGGATATGGAGAAAGGGGAACCCTTGTTCACTACTGATGGGAATGTAAATTTGTACAGAGCTGGTTCAAGGGAAATCCAAGAACATGGCTGTGAGGCAAGGACCAGATGAGGGTATTAAGGGACTATCATTACAGTGGAAAAATTAACCCTATCTTTTTTGAGAGAAGCCAGTTACAATGCTTGATGCTATCCCTGACACACTCTCTCTAGCAACAAGTTCCTTTTCTTTCGGCCCTTAAGTAAGGCTATAAGAAGAACAGAACAAAACAGCAAGGAGATGAATACCAAAGCACTGGCCACACTTTTCCCCTGTGGGCCTGTCTTATTCCATTCATGCTGCTATAAAAAATACCACAAACTGTGTATTTTATAAATAATAGAAATTTAATTCTCACAGCTCTGGAGGCTGGGAAGTCCAAGGTCAAGGTGCCAGTAGATTAAGTGTCTGGTGAAGTCTTGCTCTCTGCTTCCAAGACAGTACATTGTTTCTGTATCCTCACGTGGACGAAGGCAGAAGGGTAAACAGGCATAAAGGGCCTAGCTAGTTCCCCCAAGCCCTTTTAAAAGGGCACCAATCCCATTCATGACGGCTCTGTCCTCATGACCTAATCACCTCAAAGGCTCCACCTCCTAATATTATCACACTGGGTTGTTTTTTGTTGTTGTTGTTTTGACAAGGTCTCCCCCTGTTGCCCAGGCTGATGTGTAGTGGCACAATGTCAGCTCACTGCAGCCTCAACTTCCCCAGACTCAAGTGATTTTCCTGTCTCAGCCTCCTAAGTAGCTGGAACTACAGGAGTGCGCCACCAGCTAATTTTTGCATTTTTTTTTTTGTAGAAACAGTTTCGCCATGTTGCCCAGGCTCTCACTGGGTCTTATGTTCCAACATACGAATTTGTCTGGGGGATGGGTGACACATACATTCAAACCATAGCAGGGCCTTCAATAGGTCATTAGAGAGAGAGCCAAGGAACACCAGTGTGGCTTTTTGCATTGAACAACGATAAGTTAATGGAAGTTTAACATAGCCCACAGTCTGTAGTCAGAGGTCAGAGGAGTAAGGCCTTACATGCTACAGATGCCCACAAAGGAGATAAGAGGAAGCCAGAAGAAATAGAAATTTGTTTGTCAGTGGATAAAGAACAAGGCCAAGGTTTTCTTAAATAGTGATTGATGAGGCCCTGGTTTACTGTAACAGTGTACTTGTGATTTTTTAATTTTGTAAAAATTGTCCCAGTGTGTAATTCTCTGTTTATACCTGAGTGTGGGGAAATGAATTTTAAGGAAAAAGCCCTATATTTCCTGATAAATCACTTCTATAACTAATTGGTTATTTAATGATTCATCTGTGTAAAAAGGGGGACTAATGGTTTTAAAATAAAATTTCATCAACAGTTGTCTCTTTCATAAGGTTTGAAAACAAAGAAAATGGAGATGATGATGCAGGTGTGGCTCTTTAACAGAACCCACAGGGGAGCACACAGGCTCTGGGGAGAGCAAACAAGGCAAGGGCTCAGAAGACTAGGTTCTAATCCCAATGCCCCTTTCTCCCGGATATTTAATCATAGTCAAATTACTTAATGACCCCAAAGTACAGTGATTTCCTTAATATTTTACAAAAGAATAAAAGCACTATGGACTTTTCTTCAAACAGACATATCACCCCTGGCCTCAGGAGTTTAATATTCAGTGACTCTTTGGCAGGTCGTGAACTGCCCATCAGTCCCAGTGGTTGTTATGAATGTCCTCTGCTCATCCATCCAGATCCCCTCCCCATCTTTCTTCATCCTGACTCTTCCTGGGAGGGTGATCAATATAGACCTGCCAATAGGCTCCTGCACCCTCTAGCTTCTAATTGCATTCTGTCCACGGGAAGCCCTGGTGAGAGTTACATCATTCCAGGATTGGGAGCAACCTGTAAGAGGCCCCGGACAGCTGTGTCCATCCTCTGAAAATGAAGGCTGTTCTCAGGTGACCTGCTCTACCCAGATCTTTTTCCTTCCAGGTTCTTTTTTTTTTTTTTTGAGATGGAGTCTCACTCTGTCACCCAGGCTGGGGTGCAGTGGCACAATCTCAGCTGACTGCAGCCTCTGCCTCCCAAGCTCAAGTGATCCCCTGCCTCAGCCTGCTGAGTAGCTGGGACTACAGGCGTGCCCCACCACACTCAGCTAATTTTTGTCCTTTTAGTAGAGATGGGGTTTTGCCATGTTGGCCAGGCTGATCTTGAATGCCTGGCCTCAAATGATCTGTCTGCTTCGGCCTCCCAAAATTCTGGGATTACAGGCATGAGCCACAGTACTTGGCCTCCTTCCAGGCTCTGATAAATGTTTCTTCCCCTCATCTCTTAAAGCCTAGGGGAGGTTATGGACTGAATGTTTGTGTCCCTCACAAAATTTATATGTTGAAATCTAATCCCAATGTGATGGCATGAGGAAGTAGGGCCTTTGAGAGGTGATTAGGACATGAGGGTGGAACCCTTGTGAATGGGATTAGTGCCCTTATAAGGGGCTGAAAAGACCAGAATTCTACCCCTTCACCATGTGAGGACACAGCAAGAAGGCATCCTCTATTAACCAGAAAATGGGCACTCATTAGACACCGGATCTGGACTTCACAGCCTCCAGCATTGTGAGACAGACATTTCTGTTGTTTATGAGCCACCTGGTTTAAGGTGTCTTGTTTTAGCAGCCCAAATGGACAAACACAGGGAGGTAAGAGCCCCTACCAGCCCCTGTCCACCAGAAAGATGGGGATCTGAACAGAAGCCAGAGGTGTAACTGGAATGGACTCAGGTGTTTTCCTCACAGAGCAGATAACTAAAGCTAGAATTCTTGATAAGAAAAATGGGATAAAGAAATAACAGTTGCAAAGGTAAGAAGCAGAGACAGAGTTATAGTCCAGAGGCCAAAAGGATAATTTTAAGAAGAAGGAGTAGGTCTGAAAGTGATGACTGAGACTAGCCCTTGGCTGTGGTGATTAAGATCTTTGGTGACAATAGAAAATGTAACAATAGGAGTGGTCTGTTGTGGTGATAGAATCTGCAGACCGGTGGAAGTCCATGGGCCCATTTACCATGCCACAGGCAAAGAGTATATTAAACTCCCACGAAGAGAAGTGCCTCTGGATTCATTTTGCCAACATTCACTGTACTGATATTAGCCATGGACTTGCAGAGGGTTTATTTACTATTGCAGCCTGGCTCTCTGCTGTGTCTGAAAGTTGACCTTGGTGTCCTCTAAGTTTTATCCCAGAGAAAAAGACAGCAATTGAGCTATTCCCCAGGCACAGGGGGCAAAATTTGAAATTGACATAAAACCAAGATTCCCTGTCTGACTTGGGCCTCTGGGATTGTATTGCTGCATCCTGTGGTGGCAAAAAGAGTATCCTGGGCAGTAAGTGATTTCAATTCCACTTAAAGCAACAAGTATTTGCTGAAAACCAACCATATTCTTAGTAAGAAGATGGGTGCTGTAGGAGACAGAGAATTAAATGAAATCATTCCTTCCCTCCAGGAGCAAACAGCTTCATGCTAGAAATAAAGCTAACTCAAATGCAACAAACAGAAGACACACACACACACACACACACACACACACACACACACAGAGAGAGTACTTTTCAAGATTAGTAACAAAGAGATTATCTACAGAGATAAAGACAGAAGAATCCAATGTCTGCATGTTTTGTTATTCATGTGTATAAGTTTTCTAACTTTCCTACATTCAGTGTGAATTAGTATTGAAATCAGAATAAAAAAGCAATATTTTTTTAAAAGCCTAATTTTTAGAAATTGATAGTAAAAAATGAGACAGCCCTGGGCTGAAGTCCCAGGCGTCCTTCTTCCTAACAACTTGAACTTAGCCAAGTTGCTTAACTACTTGGTGCCTAAATGTTCTCATTTATAAAACTGGGAAGATGGCATGGAGAGGCAATGGGCATTTTCTGGCAAGAAACTAAGAAAAAAGGCCATAACCAATAAGTAACTTATGGAAATGAAAAAATCTTTTAAGTTTTATAATCTTGCTTTAGTTGATATCTTAAAACAAAATTTTGAAAGTTATTAAGTCACTCATAAGGATTTCAGGAAGCACTGCAGTGTAATATGCTTAAGAATGGAGATGGTTCAAATGCTAGCTCGGCTACTTAGCAATACCTGTCCTCAAATAAGTTATTTCACCCTACCTGAGTCTGTTACTTCATCTCTAAAATGGAGATAATCCTAAAACGTACCTCACAGGAACCTTGTGAAGATAATGCATGTAAAATGCTATCACAGTCCTTGGCATGGAATAAGTGTCTAATTAACTTTTATATATAATTATAATTATCATCTAAAAAGTTTAGTGGTGTTTCAGACAAATCTAAGAGAAGATAAGCATGAATAGGTATATGTCTTTTTCATCTTTGTATTTCACCAGTGCTTTGCACAGGGCCTGTCACAAAGTAGGGATCTGAGAAATACTTGTGAATGAAGAATGAATGAATGAATGGGCTGATTTTCCTATTTGATCAAAAGCCACATCCATATATGACTAAATCTGAGTATATAAAAGAAGATAAAACTTGTGTTTCAATTCAATCTAGTGAGTTAAATTAAAAGAAGAAAGGGAGGAAGGCAAATTAAAAGAAGAAAGGGAGGAAAAGAAGCAGGAAAGAGGGAAATAAGACAAAAAGAAAAAAAAAAAAACAAAACAGAAGTTGGCCAGGAGAAAGGGTGTCTCCATCCTTAAATATTTTACTCCTTATTGTGTGATATATTATTTTGTCAGCTTCTTCTAGCTACAATTCCCAAGGAAGGGATAGAGAGCAGCAGCTTCCAAGTAATGACCCATGTGGGTATAAAGAGAAATTTTTATCATATTAGAAAAAATATATTTATATACATGCTACCAACTTTACCTAGAAGAGAAGAGCAAGGGATTGGAAAACAAATTAGCATAAAATCCCTGCTCCAGCTTTTTACACATACAGATGTTTTCCTGCATATTTATCCATCCTTCTGAGCACTGCTCAAATGTTACATCCTCAGAGAAGCTCTCCTGGACCCCTCATCCTGGGCTGGATACTCTGTCACATGCTCTAATAGTGTCTGATACCCTTCCACTAGAACAGGGATCACTGTTGTAATTAGGTAATTATTTGGGTAATTAATTGTTTAACATCTGTGTCCAGTGTCAGTATGCAAGCAAGCTCCATGAAGGCAGTGTTCCTGTCTGCCTGTTCACCCCAAAATCACCAACACTTGCATATGCCTTGCATGAAACAGGTAAGTGAACATAAATGTGTATAAGGTTGGCATCCATTCTTTGTGCATTCTGTGTTTGTGAATTTGCCCACTCAATAAAATGCATTTGTAACCTCAACATCGATACTTGCCACATTTCTGTGGTCATTTTTGGGCATCACAGAGAAGTGAAAAATTTGTCACCCAACATGTACATTCCCCAAGTGAAGCAGAACAAAGCAAAGCTCCACCTTCTTGCTCCATCTCTCATACTGTAAACAAGGGTCTTTTTCTGATCTATTAAATGCCAGGTTGTTGGGGTGGGTTTTCTTTTGCATTTTTGTACATAATGGCCCCAAAAGAACAGTGCTGAAGTGCTGTCTCTTGTTCCTGAGTACAAGAAGAATATGATGTGCCTTACAGAGGAAACATGAGTGATAGAAGCTTCATTCAGGCTCAGGTTAAACAGCTCAGGCTGTGTCCCATGACTTCAGTGTTAATGAATTAGCTATATGTTAAATAAGGCATCTTTAAATAAAAGTAAACATTTAAAAAGTTTACATATTAATCAATTAACAAAAATGTTGTGAAGAAACAGCCAGTAGCACGTGCCTGTAGTTCTGGTTTCTCGGGAAGCTAAGGTGGGAGGATTACTTGAGCCCAGGAGTTCGAACTGCAGTGCACTATGATTGCACCACTGCACTCCAGCCTGGGCAACAGAGTGAGACCCTATCTCTTAAAAACAAAAAAAATATTGTAATCAGAGGCTCTCAGGAACTCAACCCTGGATTTCCCCTAGGGGCAATGGTTCATTATTTGCTAATTCAGCGTTTGTGGAGACTTTATACAACAATTTCCTATGAAAAATCAGGATCAACTATATATATACATAGAATGTATATGTGTATATATATTTTACATATTTGTGTGTATACATGCACATGTGTATATATGTATGTTTAGTAGTTTTTAACCATTTTGGTGTTATACACCTGTTGTAAAAATTTAAGGAAGACGTGGATACTAGGGGCTGAGGGTTGCCACAAAGGGAGGTATGTACATATATACAGCCCTGTGCTATGCATCTCCAGGGCAGGAGACAGGGTGTTGACATTCACAGTATAGCCTAAGTGAATATTCCTACTCCATAGAATTGTTCAGTGTGGTGACACTTCATGCAAATAAATACATGTATACACATACACATTTGCATAAGATTCTGGGCATTTGTGGCCTCCTATCGTGTACCTCAGGTAAAAATCCTGACAGAGAAATAATAGATACACAAATATAAATATATATTATATATGGCACATTCAATTTTACTTCAAATGTTTTACATAGGCTAAAATTGAAACTAAAATGCTTTGCATTTCAGCCACCACCAACAGGGACTAGACAATTCCAAAATATATGTATCCCCAGAAGAAAGATAATTTGTTGTGAAACACTGGCTAAAGACATTCCCTAAGGTAAACTAAACACAGGCAGAAAACTGAGAGTTGAAAAAAAATATATACATATATAGAGAGAGAGATGAGAGTTGAATATCTATATGTATATATAGATATGTATATATAGAGAGAGATGTGTGTGTGTGTGTATATATATATATATATATAGAGAGAGAGAGAGAGAGAGAGAGACAGAGGAGAGAGAGAGCACAACAAGAATACGAAGGTTGGCCAGGTGCTGTGGCTCAAGCCTGAATCCCAGCATTTTGGGAGGCCAAGGCGGGTAGATCACGAGGTCAAGAGATCGATACCATCCTGGGCAACATGATGAAACCCTATCTCTACTGAAAATACAAAAAATTAGCTGCGCATGGTGGTGCACACCTGTACTCCCAGCTACTCAGGAGGCTGAGGCAGGAGGATCACTTGAACCCAGGAGACAGAGGTTGCAGTGAGCCAAGATTGTGCCACTGCACTCCAGCCTGGCGACAGAGTGAGACTCCATCTCAAACAAACAAACAAACAAAATACCAAGGTTAACCTGCCCCGTTTGCTTTCCTAAGAGTCTAAGATTCTCTGGATTCTCAGGTCTGTATGGTGGGCAGCAATGTAAATTTAAGCTTCTCTGACATCTAAGTTCTTTGGAGACAGTAACTATTAAACACCTGACTCTGTCCCTTGAATAACAGACATTTCTTAGTAAAGCTTTTAATTAGATCTGTTGGTTGAGGATGAAAATAGAAAGACACCAGAAGGAAAAAAAAAATTCATCCCTGTAAATGGTCCTGTGGAAATAGTAACTAAAACAATTATACTGTTAATAATTCAATGTTGGTTTAAAACTATACAATTGTGAGTTATTTATACAGACCAGAGTTGGCATGTGTTGTACCACAGGTGGATGTGAGGTCACCAAGAAACCACTTCACAGTTTTCCCAGAAGTGTAGCGTCAAAAAGGTCACTTGTGGTAAAAGATCTTTTGGATTAGTCTTTTAAATCAATGCATGAATTAAAGACAATTTACATATAAATAGGCTAATACTCTGGCTTTGAAATTAAATGGATTTTTAAAAGATTTAAGTAACTGCAGAAAAGGTCAGTTAGGCAGTAAGTGTACATAATGTGATTCTTGAAAACTGCTGTCTTGTTGGTTTATTAATATTTTGTATTCATTGTCAGTGTTGTTCTAAAATTGTGTGCATAATTAGCAATGCACCAAAGTCAACGGCAGGTCCCAAAAGTAAGGAAAGCGGAATTTACAAATCAGTGAAGGAAGGACAAGTCTAGATTTGGACATGAAAATAGTCAAAATTAACCTTTGCCTATATATTAATACACATTAGATTCAAATATGTCACAACATATTCTAAATAAGCATGGCATCACTCGCTCCAGTTAAATTTACCTTGGCATTTAGCCTCACTGATAAATTTTCAACTCTTCCAAAATACAAAAGCTGCAGTAGTCTCCTGAGTTATCACAACAGGATCATGATTGTAATTTGAAATCCTGATTCCCCTTTTAGGGAACAGAAACCTGCAGTTTTTCCAACTGTAATGAAAGGATAGAGCGAAACTTCCATAGGATCAAACCACATTCCATTACCACCACTCCTCTGAACATTAATGTACCTTAAAACATATTGAACCATAGGATGAATATATGGAGCAGGGGCATTTTTAGGAGAGTGAAACTATTCTGTATGATACTACGAGAGATACATGATGTTACATACTTGTCCAAACACACAGGACTATGACAAAAGATTGAGTCCTAATGTAAACGAGGGATGACTTCAGTTAACAATAGTGTAGCAATATTGGTTAATCAATTATAACAAATGTGTCAATCCAATGCAAGATGTTAACCATAATGAATACTGTGGGCAAAGGGAGGGGATTTGTGGGAAACCTCTGTACTGTACTTTCTGCTCAGTTTTTCAGTAAAACTAAATTTGCTGTAGAAAATCGTCTGTTTTTTAAAATAGTGAACCAAATGTAATAATGCACTCAAAGACTCTTTTTAGACAAATGGTTTATAAACTATATTCAGAGGAGCCCTAGTGGTCCTTTGCTGGCCATTTGGTTTAGGAGTGTTTGGGAAAATAGAGTAGGAGAGAAGAGGGAACAATGAAGAAAAGACTGCTCAAGCTGGCCCCTTATCTTTCACCCCTGTTTCAAACAAAGCAACAACCTTTTCACCTGTACATATTGTTTCTCCACATTGGAGCCCAGTAAAGAAGGGTTTCTCAGCTAAAGAGAAAAAAAAAACATGAAAATCACCAATGTATGCTCAATAAAGTATCTTGCTACATAAATCAGCAACTCAAAGAAGAAAAAGTTAAATTATAAAAACCTTGCTAATAATGTACACTAATTCCCTCAGCTACTTAATAAACATTTAACTAAAACTTTCTGCCTGACCATTATTACTTCCTATGATTGGGCTAAGCATAAGCTAAATGACTACCTTGGAAGAACTCCAACTAAGAAGTATTTATTTCACATCAACAATGAACCAGTACTCTGTTAGAACATGCAACATGCTTTGGAAAGACAGGTGAAATACAAAGCATCATTCCAGCTGTCCAGAAGCTTATCATCTTACAGGACAGAGAACATGAACACAACAAAATGCAGAAACAATATAATACACCTGAGGCACCCAGCACCCAACTTGATGAGCTAAAAAATAGATTTCAGGTCTTCTGTCAGGTGTTAACAAATTGTCAACTCTGAATAATGTGAGGGCCAGTATGAATGAGAACAGTCCAATCCCCAGTTAAGCCCCACTTTTCTAAATCTTCTTCTCTCTTTAAAAAAGCAAAGTGAATGCTAACGTAGTCTATCAGTAATGGACAGTGTCCTCATAAAAAGACATATGTAAAAAGGAGGGGAAGTGGAAGGTAAGCAGTGCTTACTATTTTATCATATTCAATTGTATACACACCTCCTCTCAAAATTGGTGTCCCCCTATCAGTAGTTACTAACAAGTTAGTTCCCAGGATCTTGCAGATGGTGGGCTGGTTTCAGACAAAGGCACAGTGGTCCAGAGGATCTGGCAACCTCTTTCAGGGGCTGTTGGGAGATGCCCTGACGGCAGCAGAAGCAGCCTCCAATGAGGATGGCTTCCTGCTCAAGACCTCCTCACACTCCTCTTGCATAAATAAATGATTTAGACACCGTTTTCTCCTCTAATAGCCAGCACTACACCAAAGAGAAAACACTCCGCTATTGATGACAGGAGAGGGCTTTTTTTGTAAGTGTGTATGTGTGTTATGCTATAAATTACCCTGTTGGTGGGTGTAAAAATAAATATCCATGTATATAGTTGTGTATACACACACACACACACTTACACAGAGAGAATATGTTACAGTTAAAATCATGCTGTCGACAGCCACTCAAATCTAGAGCAATTTATGGCTCTCAATGCAGTCACACATTCAGGATAAAGACAGGATGATAATAAATACTTTGAATATTACCAGCATAAATAAACTGCCTGAGGAGCTTAAACATTTGCAACATAGCCTTGCTGGCTCACACTGACAACCAGCAGACCTGTTGCCAGTGAGCGACTGAAAGATCAAACATGATTAAAAATGCAAAGATGCTGCACCCAAATGACATGCTTTATTTGACAATGAACTCTGGACTCAGAGGCACCACTGCAATCTATGAGCAAAGTGCTTTTTGGTAATTCATTTGCCCACTGAGGCCAGCTACTGAGGAATCACAATACAAGTCCCTTTTAAAGTAGGCACAGTTCTTTACAGCCATTAGTAATTCCATCTTGAGACTGCCCTTCGAGAAAACAATTTCTTTTTTTTTTTTTTTACTGAGAATTGATGGTTTGTGTTTTGTCAAAATGAGCCCCAGAAGTTGTTAAGAACTTGTGTAATACATTAGCTATGAGTAGCCGAATAATGGTCTTCAAGTAAGTACAGGAAAATGAATGGCTGTGATGAAGATGGTGGGCAGGTATCCTTTTACTGAAACTACTAAAGCAGGGGCTGAAGTCAGGTTTTAAAAAAGATTCTTGTGACCATAAGACACAGGAATGTCCAGTGGAAGAAAGCCAGTTCTAGCTTGGAGTTTTAGGAACAAGCCAGTTTCCTTGGTGTCTCAGTATCATTTGATTCTATAGTATGTTATTTCTTTTATTTACATACATATGACATTCATGATTTCTTTTTAAATATCCATAAATTCAAAGTGGAATACAATGTCACAATGTCTTAAGTCTCAGAATAAGATGCTGAGAAGACCATGAACAAGTGATTTCTTTTTCTTTTTCTTTTTTTTTTTGAGACAGAGTGTTGCTCTGTCGCCCAGGCTGGAGTGCAGTGGGCAAGATCTCAGCTCACTACAATCTCCAACCCCTGGGTTCAAGCAATTCTCCTACCTCAGCCACCCTAGTGGTTGGGATTACAGGTGCCTGCTACCACGCCCAGCTAATTTTTCTATTTTTAGTACAGACAGCATTTTGCCATGCTGGCCAGGCTGGTCTAGAACTCCTGACCTCAGGTGATCTGCCTGCCTCAGCCTCCCAAAGTGCTGGGATTATAGGCATGAGCCATAGCGCCCAGACAAACAAGCGGGGGTTTCTTAAGGAAGGGCTTCCAAGAAAAACTGCTTACAGCGTGGCAAGAAGTAGAACAGGGAAAGGCAAGAAGCCAAGCGAGGGTGTGATTCAGGGTAGAATCCTCTGAGGGACGTTTTCCCACCAGAGGCAAGGAAACTGGGCTTTCACTCTCACTCACCAATCACTCTGCAGCTAAGAGCCATCCTGGGGGTTCCTAAACTCCAAGCACTTCCAGCTCTCAGCAGACCTAGTGAAGCCAGCAGCTCCAATTGGTCCTGCAAAGACCATTGCCGAAGCAGCCATTGGAAGGTAAATACACAGAAGCTGGGGCAGGGCTCACAGATATGTTGAAAGGTACCAGGGCAGTGCTCCGACACCTTCTGCTACAGCAAAGAAGCAAATGGTCCAAAAATCAAAATGAGGGTAGAATAAGGTTGGAGAATTCAAAAAGTGCAGAAAAAAAATAAAAGTCCCCCTTCTCTCACCCCCACCTTCCACTCACCCTTCACCTAGTCCTTCTTTCCAAAGGTAACCTTTGTTTACAGTTTTCTATAAATCCTTCTAAGGAAAAATATACACATATACTATGTATCTATTTAAACATTCTTTTTAAAAATATGCAGATTGGACAACTGTTCCACTGTTCTACTCCTTGCTTTTTCTCACTAAAGAATATATCTTGTATTCTAGATATTATATTAGATCTATATACATATTCTAAATAGAGAGATGATAGATTAGACAGATAAATGCAAAGAGGAAGGAAGGGAAGGAAAAATGGATGGATGGATGGATGGATGGATGGATGGATGGATGGATGGATACTACACTTCATTGATTTAAAGATAAAACAGTTTTCCACATTTTAACATTTCTGAAATAGGCTGTCTTATACTTGACAGCATTTTAGATTTGCTAAAATGCAGTAGATAGATATATAGCTATTTATGGATGGATTGACAGTTCACACATAGCTCTGCCACTTGAGAAGTAGTGCAGGATAGTAGTTAAGAGTATATTAACACATTGCTTATTAATGAGATACTTTCGTACTTGAGGAATAAGGACCTCTTTTGATGGGGCTAATATTTTAATAATCTGATAAATTGTTTATTAACTTTAAATTTTCATAATGAGTCCGTAAATGAGTTTGATTTATAGTTTTCTATTCTGTGCTGTCTCTCTCAGACTTTGGAATCCATATTACATTGGCTTCATAAAAACACACTGGCAGTTTTTTTCTTTATTTGTGCTATGGGCAATTTTGTTTACTTTTATAATTCTTTGACTATGTAATACATGTACTGTGTATCAAATTCAAAAAGTACAAAAGGGCATGAGTAAAAAAGTATCTCTACCTGTCTTCCAGCTGCCTAGTCCCTTCCCCCAGATGCAATCATTGTAATCCGTTGCTTTTGCGTTCCTTTAGTTATGTATGACACATACACATATGCACAAGGACACACACTTTTACTCAAATGTCGGTATAATAGACACAATGCTCTGCATCTTGCTTTTTTTTCACTTCATGTGTTTTGTAGATTGTTCCATAACTATACACAGAACCTCCACATCCTATCTGATGACTTCACAGTATTCCATTATGCAGATATAAAATTAATTTTACCAGTTTTCATTTTTAAATAGAATTAACATTATCAGTTCCTTGAAATGCAAAATTATTTGCTTCTGAAAGCATAAAGACCTGTGGCTTTTTAAGATCTTTGATAACTGCTTCAGATTTTTCCGATGTTATTAAAGTTCTCTTTCCTGTTGAATATGTTTGGGTAACTTATTTACCTGTTTAAAAAATACATTCCTTGAAGATTTTCAGTTACTTTTGCAAAAGTTCTCCTTTGAATATTTTAATTTCTTTAGCCATGGTTCTTTTTCCTTTTTCCTTTGTTTTTTGTTTTTTTTTTTTTAAGACAGGGTCTTACTCTGTCCTCTGTCTGTCACCCAGGCTGGAGTGCAGTGGCACGATCAGGGCTCACTGCAGCCTAAACTTCCTGGGCTCAAGTGATCCTCCCACCTTAGCCTCTTGAGTAGTTGGGACTACTGGCATGCGCCACTACCCCTGTCTAATTTTTGTATTTTTTGTAGAGATGGGGTTTCACCATGTTACCCAGCCTGGTCTTGAACTCCTGGGCTCAAGCCATCCAGCTGCCTCGGCCTCCCAAAGTGTTAAGATTATAGGCTTGAGCCACTGGGACTGTCTGCTTTCCATTTTTTGTTTTTGTACTCCCTAACTTTTTGAGTAAGTGAATTTCATTGCTTGGCATTGTTTTCAAGGTGTGTTAGTCTGTTTTCATGCTGCTGATGAAGACATACCCAAGACTGGGAAGAAAAAGAGGTTTAATTAGACTTACAGTTCCACATGACAGGGGAGGCCTCAGAATCATGGCGGGAGGTGAAAGGCACTTCTTACATGGTGGCAGCAAGAGAAAATGAGTAGGAAGCAAAAGCAGAAACCCCTGATAAACCCATCAGATCACGTAAGACTTATTCACTATCATGAGAATAGCATGGGAAAGACCAGCCCCCATGATTCAATTACCTCCCCCTAGGTACCTCCCACAACACGTGGGAATTCGGGGAGATACAACTCAAGCTGAGATTTTAATGGGGACACAGCGAAACCATATCACAAGGAGACAGTATTTGAGCTTATTTATGTTTCTTATGGATTTATTTTTAAATTAGAAAACCTAATTTCTTATTTTTATCTTTATTATTTAGTTCTTTCTGCATTTTTTCCAGTTTTTTGGCTGTTCCTTTCTTAAGTCAGATGCGTAATTCCTTTATTTTTATTCTTTTTTAAATATTCAGGTGTTAAAGGCTGTATACATTTTCTTCTAAGCGAGGCTTTAGCTGTAGCCCATAGCTCATATGTGTTATATTTTCATTATCAATGGTGTCTAGATATTTTTCAAGTTGGGTTTAAAATGTTTCTTTGAATTAAGAGTTGTTTATCAAAGAGGGTTGTTGTTTGTTTGTTTGTTTTGAGATGGAGTCTTGGTCTGTCCCCCAGGCTGGAGTGCAGTGGCACAAGCTTGGCTCACTGCAACCTCTGCTTCCTGGGTCAAGCAATTCCCCTGCCTCAGCCTCCTTCATAGCTGAGATTACAGGTGTGTGCCACCACACTCAACTAATGTTTGTATTTTTAGTAGAAACAACGTTTCACCATGTTGGCCAGGCTGGTCTCGAACTCCTGACCTCTGGTGATCTGCCCACCTCGGCCTCCCAGAGTATCAAAGAGTTTTAAAATATCCAGATTGTAAGGTTTTGATAAAACTGATTTCTAATTTATTGCATTGTAATCAGGTAATGGGGACTTTATTTGTACTTCAGCTTCTTGAAATTTCCTGCAATTTCTTCATAACTTATAAAGGCCATGTGTTTGTATTACATTGCTTTATTATTTGATATATTTTGAACCACATATTTTAGAGGGGCTTTCCTATCACAAACATATTTCAAAGTTGTTTGCAAAATATTTTGCATTTTCTAATCACCATAAGTGAAGTGATTAGAAAACACATCAGGGCTTCTGTGGCTCAGGATTTGGTGCTTGCCTCACATAGACACAACCAGTAACTCTTACTCTTGTGCCAAATGATGTAATTGCCCTAGGAAAATGTTTCTACACCTCTCTTGCCCACTTTCATTGAAGAAATGGTGACTGAATCTGAATGTCAGGAAGGGTTGTGGGTTGTGGATATGGCAACTGCAAAACTGCAGACAATAGAGATGTACACTGCTTTTGTGGTAGGGACAGGATTTGAGCAGTGGAAAGGCATAAATAAGAAAAAGAGAAATTAATTCATGATTAAGACAGATTCTGGCATAAAGAAATTGCAGTAGTAGTAGTAGTAGTAGTAGTAGTAGTAGTAGTAGTAGTTAGTGCTGAATACCGTATCTATTTTCTTTCATCAGAATCTGCTGGTTCCATTTCATAGTTCAGAGGTCTCACAAATTCAGGCAATATTCACAGCTGTGGACATAGTAACTTAGGCATATTTTGCATTATTAAACGATTGATGCTATCTTTAAATTTAGGTTGCAACATAACATACATGAAATCTGATACCAAGTCTTCACATTGGCAACTAGATGGGCATTGAACACAAAACTAGAAATTGTTTTATTTTTATAAAATATTTAATAAGATTTAATTAAAGTGTCATAAAAATCCAGCTACATTGAAATGTTTGATTTAAATGTTTTTTATTAGCTAACCCATTCTTCATTTTGCTTTTTAAATTCTAATGTATAATTTTGAATATTGTGCAAGAAATATGACTTTCTTAAAAACATTAAAAATTAATTTTAATTTTTTCAATGTATAATTAATTTATATGCTTGAGGAAAATATATTCAAATTGTATACATTTTAAATACAAATGCAGTTTAATTTCTAATTATTTAGATCAGGGATCAGCAAACTTTTTCTGTAAAGAACCAGACAGTAAACATTTTGGGCTGTTACAACGACTCTTCTCTGTCACTGCCCTAGCACAAAAGGAATCACAGACAATGCATAAGTGAATGGAGTGGCTAGAGTTGGCCCTGGGGCCTTAGTTTGCAGATCCCTGTATTAGATCATAACTGCCAATAGACAAAAAGTATCTTAAAAAAAAACCACCTTGATTATAACAACATGACAATTTTACTGAAATGAAGATGAGAAAAAATAACTTAATTGGAATAAATATATAATAATTTAAGAAATATTTCAGTCTTTTAAAAAACTCACTAAAATGTCATCAGCCCAATAACAGAACATGTACAATAATAATCAAGAGCTGTTGTCTTTGATATTTGGCCCATTTTCAATCACGTAAAAACTAGGGCTTCACCTATACATTTAGATTTTGTCCTTAAAAAAGTTATCTCATGGCAGAGGATAAAAAACACTTCTTTAATGGCTTACTAGCTGGATTTGTTAATTTTTAAATATTTAGACAGATGGTATATGGCCTCCTTTTTGCCCTGGGCCCCACAAACCTTAGATGTAGGCCTGAATACAACAGTGATCAAGAGACAAAGGCCCTACTGTCTTGAATTACAGTCTAGTAAATTCTAGTGCACATCCATTGACTCTAATTTAGACCAGTCAATCATCTATCTATTCTCACATGCACTACTGCAATAGCTTTTTTTTTTTTTTTTTTTTTTTGAGACTGAGTCTTGCTCTGTTGCCCAGGCTGGAGTGCAGTGGCATGTTCTTGGCTCACTGCAACCTCCTCCTCCCAGGTTCAAGTGATTCTTGTGCATCAGCCTCCCAAGTAGCTGGGATCACAGGTGTGCACCACCACGCCCTGCTAGTTTTTGTATTTTTAGTATAGATGGGATTTCACCCAGCCTCCCAAAATGTTGGGATTACAGGTGTACTGTACCCACTGTACCCAGCCTGCAATAGGTTTTTTATTGCTCTCTCTATATCTATTCTTGCCCTCACCAACCTATTTTCCACATAACAAATTAATATGTTAAAAACATAAACTATCACCTCTTTCCTAAAAGCTCTTCAATTGTTTTCCATTACATTCCAGATTAAATCCAAAGTCTTTTATGATTAGTATTATTATTTTTGAGACAGAGTTTCGCTCTTGTTGCCCAGGCTAGAGTGCAATGGCGCAATCTCGGCTCACTGCAACCTCCACCTCCCAGGTTCAAGCGATTCTCCTGCCTCAGCCTCCCACGTAGCTGGGATCACGGGCATGTGCCACCATGCCCAGCTAATTTTGTATTTTTAGTAGAGACAGGGTTTCTCCATGTTGGTCAGGCTGGTCTCCAACTCTCGCCCTCAGGTAATCCACCTGCCTCAGCCTCCCAAAGTGCTGGGATTACAGGCATGAGCCACTGCGCCTGGCCCAAAGTCTTTTTTTATAACATATGATGCCCTCTAAAATCTTGTTCTTCCCTATCTTCCAACTTTATCTTGTGCACTTCCTTCCTTGCCCAGTATTATCTGGCCTTTTATTGTACTTCTAACATATTGAGGCATTTCTTGCCTCGGGACCTTTGCACATGCAATCATCTGGCTACAGTGTTTCTCCTTTCCCTACTCCTTTTTCGGGGCTACTTTTTTCATTTTTACATCTCTGCTTAAACATTTTCGCCTCCAAGAAGACTTGTAAGTCCATTCAGTCTAATATATATGATTCTTGCTATATTCTGTCACTGCATCCTGTTCAATTTCCTTCACAGCCATAGGAAGAAAACCTGTAATTCTATATATTTATCTGTTTACTTGTATATTTCCTATTCTGTAAACTCTTTGAGAGCCAGGATAATTTTTATTTTGTTTATCACTTCCAGTGCCCACAATGCCTGGAAATCATACATACTCAAAAGATAGTTGTTAAAAAAGTAAATGAATATCAATTCATTTGTTGAACAAATAAATATGAAATGGATAGGCACATTCTGGACCTATCGAACCATTCTAGCATGAAGCCTTTATTCCCAGAGTGATAGCAATATCAGGGTCCCCCAACTAATGATTTTCAAGCCCACTCAGATCCTTTATTCATGCTGTATTTCCAAGCTGAATTTCCTTCCCCCACTTCTCTCTGCCTTCTCAAATATTTATTTCTTTCACTAATTCAAACACACTTCTCTCAACAAGTCTTTGGTACCCTTTTCAGCCCCAAATAATAGGTCTTGATTTCTACATTTATTATCTGAATCATTCACTTTAGTATCATCTTACGGTGCCTAATTCTTTCTAAATCTAAGTTCCTTCCATAGTGTATGTAGTAGAGACCATGTGCACTTAATCCAGCCAGCAGCATGGAGTGGAACCCCAAAACATATTGATATCATTGGCAGCCTTAGCCTGTGTTCCCCATCTGACTCTTACATCCCACTCAGGAAAGCAGACCCTAAACAAAGGCTTACAACTAGGTAGTTTATTTTGGGAAAAGAACCCTAGATAATCAAATTGAGGAACGAGGGAGAGTAAAACAGGGGAAAAGGGTATCTTAAATCAGATTCCCTAGAAGTACACTCTGAAATGGGTACGCTTGTACAAGAAATTGATTGAAATAGTGCCCTCAGGAGAAACCTATGGGGAAATGAGGGAGTAGGATGGGCCAGGGAAGAAGCCACGGAAAGATATGGCTTCAGCTGGAGTCCAGCCATGGCCCAAACCCAGAGTATGGACAAGAGTATGGAGTATGAACAGCACCACAGAGTTATTCCCCTTGACAGCTTCTGTTAGTCCTTGGCTGTGGACTGCCCTTGACCAGGCATAGGGGATCCTCTAAGGTATTTCTGGGGAAGTTCATTTCCCTCAATAGAGGGTTAATTCTCCTGAGATGAGTTCAGCTGTGAGACCTTAGTATCCAACACTCTAAGCAGCTGGGGCATGGGTGTGTTGACCCACTAATGGTGGTCTTGGTAGGGGACCAACAGCATCCTCTACAGAGGGAAATACAATATAAGTATACATTCTCAAGTCGATAACAACTACAGGCACCTAGGGCTCAACCTGCTGGAATCTTCCGAGAAAACTTACATGCTTCAGATGTATATGTATAATGTGCTTCAGACATGTCTAAACAAGGCATGGAAGAGATTATTTATCCACCAACTCCCAGTCCCCACCAGTCAGGGGTTATTCCGTGGGTTAATAACTCTCTTATACTTCCAGGTTGCCAGTCTCACTCCCAAGGTGGTAGAAAATAGGGATGAAAATAGGGATGCCCAATGCCACTTAGGCAAGAGGCTTCAGGTCACACTTGCCCTAACCTGGTTTCCACAGCGACAGCCCTAATACAGAAAGGGAGACAAGAGGATGTGAGATGTGTCACAGGAAGTGTCCAATCCACTAACTACTTGCCCTAGATCTTTGGAGAATTAAATAACCTGTCCTACTGCTATGCATGACAGAAGCCCTACCAGTGGGGGCTAGTTGGCCTTCACATTGGCTCCTGGCCTTCTCATTGGCTCATCTTAGGTGTCTTGGGCTATCTGCCTGATACACATTTTCAGTTAGGCACGTCATGTGACCTTACAGACCAAGGTTATGCAAAAGAGAAATGAAAATTAACTTATTAATCTTATGACAGTATTGGGCTCTCTGTATTTTTCTCAGGGTCCCTGACACTGATGGTATTATCTCATTCTTTGGTGATGATTATGTGTGGAATGTTTCATTTAAAAATTCCAGTGTTGTCTCTCATGAAAGCCTGATACGGTAGGCTCTATATACATACTGGTGATGATCGTAATATGTGTGTAGCACAAAGTAGTCCCTGAACAACATTTTTAATGGCAAACAGTGATTCCTTCCCCCAACAAATTAAGTAAAAATGATAAATTCCTACATTGAAAGAAATCGGCAAAACAGAACATTTCCTTCAATTCACATAATCATTAAGAAGTATCATTCATAAGGGGTTAGAAACATATAATATCCAACCTTCCTGTTTAACAGAGCCCAGCAAGGACTCAAATGCACAGTTCATTACTGTCATTATGAGAGAATTTCTGCCAACAAGTTACAGTCAGGTTACTATCATTCAATCATGTTGCTAATAGGACTAATTTCATGGTAATTGGCATATTCTAGACCAGAGAAGAACTCAAATGGTTGTGGAATCATTAATGATTTATGCTTTCATGGTAAAAATGACAATCTATTAGTTTACCAGATGCTGGATCAAGCCATGGGCCATTAACAGGAGGGTGTTCTCAGAACGTTTTCAGAACAAATACCAGCTACTTTATTTTCAGCTTGCAGACATAATCACATGCATCCCCTATCAGATCCACCACTATACTGTCAGATACATCATAAATTAAAGGCTCCATGGGCTCATTATTGGCTCTTATTCGTAAAAGCAACACGTTGCCCTGGCAAGACCCAAAATATTAAATGGGCATTTAAAGAAACTGCAAAATGTGTAGTTTTGGAAAAATGAAATCTTCCTTAAAACTATTTACAGTACTCAAGTTTTCAAAATGTCCTTCATCCTCGATTTTGCCTCAATATTTGTTTTTTTGTTTTTTGTTTTTTAATAAAAGCAAAGAAAAAAGAAACAAATTCCTGCCCTGTCAGGAAAGCTTTTAGGCCGAGTCTCTTAGGAACTGGGTGTCATTTATTAGTAAACCTAATATGCTGCCTTCAGAAGAACAGAGGTGCCAGCATCAAATAAACAGGCTTAAAAAAAAAATTCCAGGAAACTTAATGTACACTACGTTAGTAACCAGGACAACTCTTGTTTCCCAGCAATCTATGGCATAGATACGTTGGTATGAGATAAAGCCTCCATCTTTCCTGAATCTTCAAAACAAATGTAAAGCTGATTAAAATTCCTCTTCTGTCTTGCCTATGTACAAGGCTGCTCTCCCAATACCAAGCAATCCTATTTGGAGACAATGGGATGTTTGCCAAACCAAACCGAAATAAATAAATAAATAAATAAATAGGAGAGTTTCTGTTTTCAACTGTTGATGGCATCACCCTTGCCATTTCTGGTGATCAGATTATCCACCTAGAAAGTGTAAGAAAACAAGTCTTCCGGTTAGTACTTACTGGGCAAAGGGCTGAGTTTCAAGAATCACAACTGAAATCGGTGGGGTTGCTCTTTGTTAATGGGAAAAAGCACCATGTTAAAGTGACCAGGGCCTGGTGTGTGCACCGCATGATCTGTGAGCATGAGTTGTGTGTGCAACATGCTTCCTCGTGATTACCGCCTATACGGACAGTCACTGTGCATTAGTGCATTGGTAGCCAGCCGCCGCCAAAAACAGGATGGCATTCTTCCATCGTGATTAGAGGTTTTGTGAGCATTTTGGGATGGGGGACACTTTCTCAGTAAAGACTCTTCCGCCCCATTCACGTTCATTCAGCTCTTTCTAGGGGAAATTAAAAGCTGCAGTGATAATCCCTTAAGGACAACTTGGAAGAGTATAAAAGGTGCAGTGTATAAGCAATTGGATGAGAAAGCCTTTTATGTGGAAAGTTACTGAATGGGTGGCTGAGGGTGGTGTGAGTGGGGAGAAAGAGGGGCAGCTTTTCTTTTCTAAGGTGGGGAGCAGCGGGGATATCATGGCACTTCAGTTCCCTTTAATCATCCAGATTCCTACGCTGTCCCTGCCCCTGGTGTCACCTTGTTTTGCAGTGCCAGCTAGCTCCTCCCTGCCATTTTCCCCTCAAAGAGGGAGAGGGGAGCAATGCGATTTTTGGTAAGGACCCAGTTTCTCGCTGAATGCCAACTCAGCCAGCTGGCACCGAACAGGCCAAGCCTTCTTCAGAAGAGGTTAGCAAAATCCAAATTAGCATGGTCCATTTTAAAAACTTGCTTTTATTTAAAGACTGATTCATGACAAACAGTGGCTCCCGTACTGAGGTCTGGCACCCCAGGGGCTGGCATCCAACCAAACACATGCAACTAATTGCCACCCTCGGATGACACGCAACTAACAAGCTCCATTTTGAGGCAGTAGATTCACTAAGAATGTAACCCCGGAAGGCAGCGGAGGCAGAAAAGCTCCTTTCATAACCCTGTCCTAGGCTAACCATGGCAGCAGAGAGCCTGAAAAACACTTTTGTTTCATTGCACCAACAATTTAGCTCCACGGAGGGCTACAAACACGGCTAACTTGCTGAAAAGTGATCAAGGGCACTGCGATCCCCCTCATGGTTATAGGAGGCAGGGGCTCTGCTTTTCTCTTTGCTCAAGGAAACACACAAAATTGCCTACTATCTTGAAACTCCGCATCTTGCACCATTTGCAAATCTATCGACCCCCAGTACTTCCCCTTATACTTTAGTTCAGATGCTCTCAGGCTTCCTTTGTACAAGCAAGGGCTCTGGAGCCAGGATGCCTAGGTTCAAATCCCAGCTCCACCATTCATTAGTAATTGGCAAGTATTTTAACCCATCTATGCCTCAGTTTCTTCATCTATAAAGTGGAGAGAATATTAGCACCTACATTACTACGAGTAGGAACGAGTCAATGTAATAATGTACATAGGACAATGCCTGACATATCATCACTCTGTTATGAAAGCTCTTTGAGTCTGAGATAGCTCGGCCTTATGAAGAAAAAATTTCCCTTTGCATAAGCTGCATTTTAGTCAAAGTTCTTGCTTCCCTGTAAACTTCTAGAGATTCAACCTCTAAGCCTTTGTTTACCATTCTTTCTCCTCTCAACTGTCCTTCCTCCATTGCACAGCCCTGTATGACTAAATCTCATCATCCTCCAAAACCATTCTTCAATGCCACCTCCTCCGAGGAGACTTCTCTGCCATCCCAGCTGCCATGAATCCCTGCACTCTTGGCATGGCCATGGCAATTTCTGCAAACAAATGACTGTGTTTTACTTGCCTGTTATATTTCCTTTTCTAGACTGACAGATCCTTTTGAGCATAATCCACGAGTAACTAGCACATAGTAGATACTCAATGAATATTTGGTAAAGAAGTAGATGGTCAGATGAAAGAATTGCTCTGCATAAATGAGTAGCTTTATACTATGGTTATGCTGGGCATTACTCAATAGGCAGGATGGGGGAATCGTTTCTTAAGGACTTTCATAGTTGCTTTGGCCCAAATTAAGAGTTGTATTTAACTTGTCATCAACTGAGGCTCATAAATAAAATCTATCAAAGAAATATGTCAATTACCACCTTAGTCAGCTTGGGCTGCCATAACAAAACACCAAGGATTGTGTGGCTTAAACAACAGAAATTTATTTCTCACAGTTCTAGAGGCTGAAAGTCCAAGATCATGGTGTCAGCAGATTCTGTTTCTCCTGAGGCCTCTCTCCCTGGCTTGCGTATGGCTGCCTTTTCGTTCACCATGTCACATGGTCTTTCCTCTGTGTGCTTCCTCCCCTAGTATCTCCTCTTCTTCTTCTTATAAGGGCACCAGTTGCATTGGATTAGGTCCCACCCTTATGACCTCATTTAACATTAATTACCTTTATTTTTATTTTTATTTTATTTATTTATTTATTTTTGAGATGGAGTCTCGCTCTGTCACCCAGGCTGGAGTGCAGTGGCGCAATCTCGGCTCACTGCAAGCTCCGCCTCCTGGGTTCGTGCCATTCTCCTGCCTTAGCCTCCCGAGGAGCTGGGACTACAGGCACCCACCACCACACCTGGCTAATTTTGTTTTTGTATTTTTGGTAGAGATGGGGTTTCACCGTGTTAGCCAGGATGGTCTCAATCTCCTCACCTCGTGATCTGCCCACCTCGGCCTCCCAAAGTGCTGGGATTACAGGTGTGAGCCACCGTGCCCTGCCTACCTTTAAAGGGGTAATTAAGGTTACCTTTAAAAGTTGTCTCCAAATACAGTCACATTAGGGATTCAGGCTTCAGTGTATCAATTCAGGGGAATACAATTCAGGCCATCACAATGACATATACATATAGAAGCATGAATATTCTGTATATTACTTAAGTGCATAGGAGGAACTTAACCATAGGAAGTCCACAAGCCTTTGCTCCTTAAGTCCTGGCATCCAGATCTTCATTATGTTAGCAAAAGTTCAGAAAATGGAAACAAATGTGGCACTCAAATACACAACTATTTTATCTAGATGAAAAATTAAGCTTTCTTTGGAATTTGTGGGATTCAGTTGGGGGGCTCAGTTGCTTCTCTCTTAGAGGCAGGAAAACATCAGCACCCCAGGCAGCAGCCACAACCCTGTCTCCTGTTAAAGCCATTGCCTCTCCCAAGAACAAATGCAAATTCCCAGCTAAACTCCTGTGCACTTTCTAGGAGGAGGCTCACTTTGGTCCTTCTAGGATCAATTTATCTGAATCTTTTCTTTTGAAGGCGGACCTGCAGCTTTATGTAGCCCTGAAACTCTGAACCAGCTTCTCATGCCAGCACCCCTTCTTTAGTCACTTCATAATTCAAATTGCTGTTATCAGCATACACTATTTGTACTGATTTGACTTTTTCACATTGTTTTAAATCACTAATTTCCTATTAGGCAGATTCCTCACATCAATACCGTAAGCTAATGGCTCCCATGGTATTTGTTCATATCTTTCTCTTAAGATACTTAACACTTTTTACCTGGTAGGAGGATGATTTATAGTCATATGTGTCTTTCTTGCCAGACCTTTTAACTACTTAAGGTTAGAATTGCATCAAACCCATTGTTTTATCCCAACCAGTGCTTAACATGATATGGCACACGTAGCAGAGTCACAGTAAAAGTTTGCTGTAATTCACATAGACTTTGCCAGGAGTGCATAGAAGGATTAAGCATCAGAAGCAATGCAATCGCAAAGGTATCTCGTACCATCAAGGGGTGAGGCCAACATCTTAGAAAATTAAGATCAAATATCATCCTTCATTTTTAATTTAAAGCTTCTAGCCAGTTGACCCAGAAACATCCCACACCTCCACCATGACTTACCAATTTGTCTGAAATAATAAAGAGGAAAATGAGAGGCTATTAGCGCCACTTCCATTCTCCAGTCAATCATTGTTCTAAATTATTAATCAGTTGAAGTATTGCCAAGAAATTTTCAGGCCTCTCTCCAAAAGTGTAAAGTAGTCATTTTCAAGTGAACAATTAACTATTTTATTCATCTAGAAGTTGTAGAATTTATAGACAAGCTGATTTCTGTGGATTTTCTTCCCCCCTTTTGGATGCTGGTGGAGGTAAGAGAGGTCTACATGAACTACAAATAGTTTCCTTTCCATCACTCACTTATTAATAACTAGAATCCTGTTTAAAAGGAATGTACTAAAATATTTTCTAGGCTGAAGCAGGAGGATTGCTTGAACCCAGGAGTTTGAGACTAGCCTGGGCAACATAGGGACACCCTGTCTCTACAAAAAAAAAGAAAAAAAAAAAGAAATTAAATTAGCTGGGTATGGTGGCATGTGCCTGTGGCCTTAACTACTTATGAAGCTGAGGTGGGAGGACGCCAGAGCCCGGGAGGTAGAGGCTACAGTGAGCCATGATTGTGCCACTGCACCCCAGCCTGGGCAGCAAAGAGATACTCTGTCTCAAAAATAAAGTAAAATAAAATATTTCCTGACCAGTTCAGCATTTATAATATTGTTCCTAATAGCATGCCACTCCTGACTGATCATTGCTGGCAAAAGCAAAGTGATCGATTGTCACCACCCTGTTTGTCCCCAGGATTAACTTGGTAAAGAAGTACAGCCATGGTTTCTGCTTTCGTGGAGCTTACATTCTAGAGGAGACAGTGAAAAAGAAAGGTAAATAGACAAATGAAACAACTACAGCAAATTTTACTAAAAAAAAAATAAAATAAAAAAAGGAAAAAAGAGGCTAAGATAAAGAAAGGGGAGGTGTACCTTAAATAAGATGTCGATAAAGACCTCACTAGCAGGAATCATCCTCCATGGATCAGGAGAATCCTGAAACTGGGGACCTCATAGGCAGTCCAATCCAAAGTGTGAATAGGCCATGAACATTTTTAAAACTATATATTCAGTTCTGGTCATCTATTGACCTCAGAGACACTAGATTTCCAGTGGCATCCACTACTATGACTGCAATTGCTGAGGGGTAATTTTCTGAGCCAGAGTTGTAGCATGCAATTTGCCTTGTCATTCTCATCTGATGCTCATTAATAGTCCCAACTTTTATGTAAGGTATGTGCTTTCAAAGGTAGTGTGATATGTGGCTAAAAATATTGATTTTTTTCTTTTACACTTTTGTTTTTTTTAAAAGGAGGAAAAGTGAGCACTAATTTTTTTATTTCAACTGTATCTTTTGAAGGTTCATTATGCATATATTTTGATAATCTTGTCTATGAGAATGAACCCTAGGACAATTAAATATCCTTTAATTTTGAGATGTGTAGTCTGGAAATACCTACATGGCCGTCCTAGGCTTTAGGTTCATTTTCTTTGAGAGGCTCAACCCCATATTATATCAGATATATTTACAGGTCAAAAGGCAAAATTGAAACAAATTTAGTTTAAAGATCTTAACTGGCTTTTATTTGTGATTCTAGAATCAGACAAAACCTCACTGTATAAAAAAGAATGAGTGTTCCAATGAGCTGAGCAGAGGAGGTTTCCTTTACAGCTGGAAAAGGGATGAAGAAAGCAGAAACAAAGAACCAAAAGCAAATTGGTTGTTTCCAAGTTACTTTCCTTGTAAAGGTTAAAGCAGAGGGACATCCTTATCATATTGGCTACAACTGGTCTAGTTGAGGATTTGGCTACTAGTTCTCCCCCCTGATTTCTTAGAAGGTCAGATGAAAAACTTGGTTTTGGCTTGGTGGCCAAAACTTCAGCATGAGTAATTCTATTTTGGTTTGGACTGTTGAGCTTGGTTCAGTAGTTCAGTCCAAACCAATGGACTTCTATAAATTTTATTCAACATACACGAAACAGTTTTTGTATGTGAGATCTGTGAAAAATATTTTTATACTTTTGCATTTAAAATTATTTGCTTATGTATAATTTGGTTAATTTAATTTTTTAAATTGCCTAAAATTTCCCAGTAATCAACATGCAGTTTCAGGAATTCTTAAGAACTGAGAAAAGCTAACTCATAAAATGTCTCTAAGAGTAGACATTTTAATAACTATTACATTTAGTAATTAATCACAAGAGCATAAAATTTCATTTATTGACATATCATTAAATATGACATTGTTCAGATTGTGCAATTTCTGCATACACTGAAATCAAAGTAGTTTTTCTCTCTCTGTTAGTTCTGAATATTTTCATAGGCCCTTGAAAAATACATTGGCCCTAGTCATTAGTTCCTGGTACCTAAAGATTAAAGAGGCAATAGAATATGTGTGTATTCCCAGGTCTTACATGGCACTAGATAGTGGGGGTCTTTTCCCCCTAAATAAAGTGGATGCTATTATAACCATGCATGACTCCAGTTAGACCCAGATGAATGTACCAAAATCACTACCATTTAAAAAGCATAAAAAACCTTGCCCTCAATTTACTGTGATTTGCAAACTCTCCTCTGAAGTTTCACTGAACCCCACTTATAAATATCATCTTGCTTCTTTAGCAAATTCTCAAACCTTAGTACATAAGAATCACCCAGAGCTCTTATTAAAAACAGATTCCTGGGCCCTGACCCCAAAGAATCTTATTTAATAGATCTAAGTGGAGCCCAGAAATCAGAGTTTTTAACCTTCTGAAACCTTAAAGGTTGTATAAGCCTTTAGAAAACATTAGTTGATGTGAGCAGGGTTGATGATAACAGCTGGTAAGATTAGTCTTGACTTGAGCTACTGAACAACTCAAGTCCATTTAGGCTAGTCTCTCTCAACCCTGGCTCATACTAGAATCCCCTGGGGCTTTTAAAGCACTTTACCCCCAAGGATTCTGATTTCTTCTGTATGGGCATTGGTATTTTTTAAAGCTACCATATAAACAAATTGAGAAACCCTACCAGCCTAAGGGCATTTCTGTCAGAAAGGATTAACCCACACACTGCGGTGATGATAAGGCCTAACACTCCTACAAAATGCAAACACTGAAGCAGAGATTTCGCAAGACTAAAATCCATCTGGAGCTCTTGATTCCCAGTTTGTGTCAGCCTCAACACACCCAAGTTGGCCTTAACAGTTATGGCACAAGAAAATGAGCCCTTCCCTTTAGTTTTCATCAGCTGGCAGAATGATTTAGTAGCTCTATTATAAAAGCAACTCCATTATAATTACAGTGTTTGAATTATAAACAAAACAAGAAAAATACAGAAGGAATAGTCCTTTAGTCAAAACTGTAAAACAGAACAATTTCTGGCTGCAGTTAAAAGCAAACTGAAATATTAAGAGTAAGCTCTCCAGCCCTTTGATTCTTGCCTCTTTCCCATAGGAGCGACACTACACATTTTTTCAATTAAGCAGTTTGACAACCTGAAGAAACCCACAGTGCATGATTTAATGAGCATATACTGTGTGCATGGTAATCGGCAAGCTGACAGTTTGCTCATTTCAAACTGACAAGAGAGCACTACACATTAGTAGAAAGGTTTCTTGGGTCTCTTTTCATTAAATAAGCTTTACAGTTGAGGAACATTCCAACTGTATTGGCAAAGCTGTCACTAATGGTCCCCAGGCAACCTTAACTCTCTGTCACTCTCCAAGTCCTCAAGTCTTGATGAAGAAATTGCTTCTTAAAAAACAAAGCACAAAAACAAAATATAGATATTTAAAGTTCTCTGGATGTTGTCAGGGGCAAGGTGGAGCTTTCTGAGCCATGAATCCACTGGTGATTTCACAGTACATGAATTCTAACCCAGTATGTGCTGGTTCTTCATGCAGATCACTTTATAAACTGGAATTGTTTTTAGAAATAATGCCCAAACTGTTAAATTATTCAATAGTTTAGAAATGATTCAGCGTACTGGAAAAAACATAGGCCTTGGTGACAGAGAGATAGGGGTTCGAATTCTGACTAAAATACTTCTCTGTGGCCTTGGTCAAATTACATCATTTCTCAGGGGCTCAGTTTCCTAATTTATGAAACATGGACAATAACATCTGCTTTGTATGAACAAGATCGTAAAAGTCTTTCGCACAGTTACTGACAACACAGGCATACTTAAATAGAGACTAGTTTACCCACAGAAATTCAGAGTATGGGGTTTTAACAAAGCTAACTATAGTCTGACTGTCCTGAGATTTCTACCATGAGCCTTTATTGGAGTTCTATAAGAAGAAAAACAGTAAGCTAACATTCACTCACAAATGGGATTTTATTTAATCCTACTAAGATTCTGAATTTTGGGTGTTATTACACCTGTTTTTATAAAATCTCGAAATAAGAAGGGTTCTTAGAGGTCATATGAGGAATTTCTGACATTTTAACTTTTCTGATTACAAGAATATGAAACTACTGTTTCCCTCTTTGCTCTGCTTGTCAGAAAACTCGAGTGAATTCTCATGCTAAATGTATGTTTGCAACTCTGTTAGCAGTAGCGGTTAGCAGATTTGTTTCCTGATTTTCTATACATATGTTAGTAACCTTACTTAAAATAGTTTATAAGCTACCCTGAAGGAAGTTGAGATTTCTTAGCTAACTAGTAAGATCCATAACAAGAATCCATGTCACCTGACTCCAGGCTAGGACACCTCACATATAACATGGAAATGACATAGAAAACCCCAGAAGCAAGTACAGTGAAGCCATAGCTTATTGCTTGGGTCCTATGCCATGAAGATGATCAAACATATTAGCCTTCTAGTTACGAGGAAAAAATATGGAAGCTTCAGGGTCCTTATTTCTAAAATAGGGATAATATATATTTCTAAGATCATTGTAAAGATTTAGAGAGAATATTTTCAAAATCAGCCAGTGTGGCATTCGATACATAGTAACATTTTAAAAGTCTGAAATGTTGACTCTAAGAAATAATTGTAGTTCTACTAATTACAAGTAAAACACAAATGCATAGACCCTTAAACATGATTTAGAAATCATTTATCCCTCCAAACTTCACGCACTGATGTAAAATTCTGCCCCAGGCTAGGTGAAGATCCATACTTGCTGTCTTTCTCTCATGTCACAGAGTACATGGAGATCTGGAAAAGTTGTCCATAAATTCCAAATTCTTAATATAAACATGTCTATTGGAAATACAGACTCTTTTTTTTTTTTTTTTGAGACAGAGTCTGGCTGTTGTTGCTCAGTGGAGTCATCTTGGCTCACTGCAACCTCTGCTTCCTGGAGTCCAGTGATTCTTTTGCCTCAGCCTCCCAAGCAGCTCAGATTCCCAAGCAGCATCATGCCTGGCTAATTTTTGTATTTTTAGTAGAGATGGAGTTTCATCGTGTTGCCCAAGCTGGTCTCGAACTCCTGGCCTCAAGAAATCCACCCACTTTGGCCTCCCAAAGTGGGATTACAGGCATGAGCCACTGTGCCCAACCAGAAGTACAGAACTTTATCAAGAATACACACATGTGACATTTTCAGGTTTAATAATTTATACTTCAGGGTACTCACAAAACTGGGCCAAAATCATGGTCTACCTCTATGTGAAATACCAAGTTTCCCTATGTCTCACAGCCATGACTCCACTGGTGACTTCACAGTACACGAATTCTAACCCATAAATTGACTATATCCAGAATGTAGCCAGACATACCATAAAGATGTTCATTTATCTTCAAGGGAGTCCACAAAAATAGCACTGTAGTTCCTCATATGCATACCCTAACAAAAATGAGTCAGTGGTGTTTCCCCAGAGAAAAACGATGCTGTGCAGTGGAAGCAGCTTTGGAAACAGACAGATTCAGATTTGAAGGCTGGCTCTGCTATCCATTAGTTGTATGACATTGGACAACATAGTATGAACCTCTTAGAGCCATAGATTCTTCCACTGGCAAATGGAGGAAACACTTTGAACTTATATAACTATTGTAAGCAGGGGTTATGTTATGATTTAAATGTCCCCTCCAAAAATTATGTTAAAATTTAACTGCCATTGTCATGGTATGGAGAAGAGGGACCATCAAGAGGTGGGACCACTGAGAGATGATTAGGTCTTGAGAGCTCTACCTTCATAAATGGATTAACATCATTATGAAGAAAGTAGGTTTGTTATCATGAGTGAGTTATTATAAAAATGAGTTTGGCCCTCTCATTGGCTCATTTTCATTTTCTCCTGCCCTTCTGCTTGCCTCCATGGGATGACAAGCACAAAGGCCCTCACCAGATGCCAGCACCTTGCTGTTGTACTTCCCAACTTCCAGAACCATGAACCAAATAAATTTATTTTCTTTTAATAAATTGCCCAATCTCGGGTATTCTGTTATAGCAGAAACAAAATGGACTAAGACAAATGATATTTAAAATATTTAACCATTAGTATGGTAAAGGCACCAACCAGCATAGGCTTAATGCCTGTTCTGGTGCATACTAATTAAATATGAACTCCATTTGAAGAATTTTGAAGGCATCCAACTTGATCCTAGATCATGGGAGGTGCTTAAACATATACAACGCATTAAATGAAGCAAACACGTGTTGTAAAACATTACAATAAAAAACTTAGCAGCAGTTATACTGAGATCTCTATACTCTCCAATTACATTTTTTCACCTGTGTTGTTTTTATTCCATGATTTTATTAAATGATTGTTAGCTTAAAGTGATGAGCCACTTGCGTCTTTTGACTCATGATTGAGACAGTCGTCAAAAAATTCTAGATTTGAAAAGACATAAAGTGATCTCACTTGGAATTTTATCAAGTCTATATTCATGTATAATCCTTATGTCTTCTTAATTTAATGACTCCTTTATTATGACACACTCTTCTTCTTTATCTCTGATAATATTTTTTGTCTTAAAGTTGAGTTTGTCTGATATTATTATAGCCACTCTAGACTTCCTATGCTGTTTCCATGGTGTATTTATTTCCATCAATTTATTTTAAACCTATCTGTGTTTTTTTATTTAAAGGCTATCTCTTAACAGAACATAGCTGTTCTTGCTTTTTTATACATTCTAATCATCTCAGCATTTTTTTGAATATTTATTTATTTTTATTTGTTTGGTTTCTTTGCCCACAAAACTTATTCATTTTGTCAATCATTTGAAAGTAGCTTGCATTCATAAAGCCCTTGGGCTTAGGTCTTTTTAAAAAAAATTCATTCATCTGTTTTTATGTGTTTATTTTTTCAACTTTCATTTTAGATTCAGGGGGTATATTTGCATGTTTGTTACCTGGGTATATTGCATCATGCTGAGGTTTGGGATATGAATGGTAGCATTACCCAGGTACTGAGCATAGTACTCACCATTTGGTTTTTCAACCTTTTCCCCTCTCCCTTCTTCCCTGCTCTAGTAGTCCCCAGTGTCTATTGTTACCATCTTCACGTCCACACGTACCCAAAGTTTAGTTCCTACTTACAAGTGAGAACATGTGGCATTTAGTTTTCTGTTCCTGCATTAAATTGCTAGGATAATGGTGTCTGGCTGCATCCACGTGGCTGCAAAGGACATGATTCGATTCTTTTTTATTACTGCATAATATCCCATGATATACATGTACCAAATTTTCTTTATCTGATCCACCATTGATGGGCACCTAGGTTGAGTCCATATCTTTGCTATTGTGAATAGTGCTGTGACAATGAACATGCAAGTACATGTGTCTTTGGTAGAATGATTTGTTTTCTTTTGGATCTATACACAGTAATGGAATTGCTGGATCGAATGGTAGTTCTGTTTTAAGTTCTTTGGGAAATCACCAAACTGCTTTCCACAGTGGCCGAACTAATTTACATTCCCACCAACAGTGTATAAGCATTCCTGTTTCTCAGCAGCCTCACCAACATGTGGTTTTTTTTTGTTTGTTTAGTTTTGTTTTGTTTTTGTTGTTTTTTTTTTTTTTACTTTAGCCATTCTGACTGGTGTGAGATGGTATCTCATGGTGGTTTTGATTTGTATTTCTCTGATGATTAGGGACAATGAGCATTTTTTCATGTTTGTTGGCCACTTGTATGTCTGTCTCCCTTTGAGAAGTTTCTGTTCATGTCTTTTGCCCATTTTTTAATGGGGTTGGTTTTTGCTTGTTCAATCATTTAAGTTCCTTATAGACTCCAGATATTAGACCTTTAGTGGTTGTGTAATTTGTGAATATTTTCTGTCATCCTGTAGGTTGTTTACTCTGTTGACAGTTTCTTTTGCTGTGCAGAAGCTCTCTGGTTTGATTAGTCTCACTTGTCAATTTTTGGTTTTGTTGCAATTGCTTTTGAGGACTTAGTCATAAATTCTTTCCCAAGGCTGATGTCCAGAATGGTGTTTCCTAGGTTTTCCTCTAGGATTCTCATACTTTGAGTTCTTACATTTAAATCTTTACTCCATATGGAGTTAGCTTTGTATATGGTGAAATGTAGGGGTCCAGTTTCATTCTTCTGTATATGGCTAGCCAGTTATCCCAGCGCCATTTATTAAATAAGGAAACCTTTCTCCATTGCTTTTGTTAACTTTGTTGAAGATCAGATGGTTGTAAGTGTGCAGCTTTATTTCTGGGTTCTCTAGTCTGTTCCATTGGTTTCTGTGTCTGTCTTGTACCAGTACTATACTGGTTTGGTTACTGTAGCCTTGTAGTATAGCTTGGAGTTGGAAAATGTGTGCCTCCAGCTTTGTTCTTTTTGTTTAAGTTTGCTTTGGCTATTCAGTCTCTTTTTTGATTCCACATGTACTTTATAATAGTTTTTTCCAGTTCTGTGAAATATGGTAGAGTAGTTTTATAAACTACCTGTATAAAACCTGTAGATTATTTTGGGCAGTATGGCCACATTAATGAAATTGATTCTTCCAATCCATGAGCATGGAATGTTTTTCCATCTGTTTGTGTCTTCTATGATTTCTTTTAGCAGTGTTTTGTGGTTCCCCTTGTAGATACATTTCATCTCCTTGGTTAGATGTATTCCTAAGTATTTTATATACTTCTATTTTTTCAGGCTATTGTAAATGAGATTTCCTTCTTGATTTGGCTCGCAAGTTGAACATTATTGGTGTACAGAAATGCTACTGATTTCTGTACATTGATTTAATGACCTGAAACTTTACTGAAGTTGTTTCTGAGTTCTAGGAGGCTTTTGGTGGCGTCTTTGAGTTTTTTAGGAATAGAATCATATTGTCTGCAAAGAGAGATAGTTTGATTTCTTCTTTTCCTATTAAGATGCATTTTATTTCTTTCTCTTGCCTGATTGCTGTGGCTAGCACTTCCAGTACTATGTTGAATAGGAGTAGTAAGAGTGGGCATCTTTGTCTTGTTCCAGTTCGCAAGGGTAATGCTTTCAGTTTTTGCCCATTCAGTATGATATTGGCTGTGGTTTTATCATAGATGGCTCTTATTATTTAGAGGTATGTTCTTCAGTGCCTACTTTCTTGAAGTTTTTTATCATGAAGGGATGTTGGATTATAGCAAAAGCTTTTTCTACATCTAGTGAGATGATTCTAAGGCTTTTTAAAAATCCTATTTATGTGGTGAATCACATTTGTATTTGCTCATGTTGGACCAAATTTGCATGCCAGAATGAAGCCTACTTGATCATGGTAAATTAACCTTTTGATGTGCTGTTGAATTTGGTTTGCTGGTATTATGTTCAGGATTTTTGCCTCTATGTTCATCAGGGATATTGGCCTGTTGATTTCTTTTTTTTTTATTGTGTGTTTGTCAGGTTTGCTATCAGGGTGATGCACAGAATGAGTTTGGGAGGAGTTGCTCCTCTTCAATTTTTTGGAATAGTTCAGTAGAATTGTACCAGCTCTTCTTTGTACATCAGGTAGAATTTTGCTATGACACTGCTACATTTTAATTAGTGATTAGTCCACTGACATTTAGTCTGATTACTGATATGGTTGCATTTAGAGCTGCAAGTTTATTATATGTTTTCTGTTTGCTCCTCCACTTCTTGTTTTTCTTTTTCTTCCCTCTGCAACTTTTGGATCATTTTTTTCTTAATTTAGGATTCTATTTTATCTTTGGATTTTCAGTGGTTTTTCTAGGAATTAAAACATATATTCTTGATCTTTCACAGTCTACTTAGATTTAATTTTATACTATCTCATATAAAATTGGAAAACCTTGCAACTGTATAAATCCATTTGCCACTGCCTCCATTCTTTATGCTATAAAGTCATATGGATTACATCTGTACATATTACATTATAAACACCACAAGACAATGTTATAATTTTTGCTTTAACAGGTCCTGTGTAGTTAAAGATCTTATCATGAAAAACTAGTCTTTTATATTTACAATTTCCAAAATTTTTTCATTCCTTCTTGAAGACTTAAGATTCCATCTGGTGTTATCTCACTTTATAGCCTGAACAATCTTTCCTTTAGCATTTCTGTGGGGCAGGTCTGCTGATAATAAATGCTCTTAGTTTCCTTTTATCTGAAAATGTACTAATTTGCCTTTACTCACAAAGGATATTTTTGCTACACATAGAATTCTGGATTAACAGTGTTTTGCTTTTTTTTTTACCCCTCGTTTGTACTTTAAAAACATCATTTCAATTTTTCTGGCCTTTATAAATTCTGATGAGACGTCATCGTTCATTTAAAGCATTGTTCCACCAAAGATACCGTGCCATTTTTCTCTGGCTACTATCAAGATTCTCTCTTTATTGTTGGTCCTCACCAGTTGGAATATGATGTACCTATGCACAGTTTTCTTCAAATGTATCCCATTTGGGATTCACTGCATTTCTTGATCTATGCATTTATGTATTTCACCAAATTTGAAAATTTGGGCCCATTATTTCTTCAAATATTTTGTTCTGTTTCATTCTCTTTCTCTTCTCCTTCTGAGACTCCAATTACATGTAAGCTAGACATTTTAATTTCTGTTACACAGGTCCCTGAGTCTCTGTTTATTTTTTTTATTCAGTCATTTTAAGTCTTTTTTTCTGTCTGTTCTTCCAAAAGAAAATTTCTATGGATCTATCTTTAAGTTCACTAACACTTTCCTTTGTTTCCTCCAGTTGCTGTAAGTATACTCAATGAGTTTTTATTTCAAATACTGTATTTTTCAGTTTCAGGATTTCTATTTGGTTCTTTTTGCAGTTTCTGTTTACTACCTTCTTATTCATTATGAGTTTATTTTCCTATTATTTGTGGAGCATGGTTAAAATAGCCACTTTAAAATCTTTGTTAATTCCCACATTTGGCTCATCTTGGAATTGGTCTCAGATAATTGCTTTTTGTCTTCAGAATGAGTCACATTTTATTGGGTTTCCATATAGCGTGTAATTTGGGGTTGTATGATATGCAAGTATTGATGTTATTGTATGCAGAGCTTCAATCCTGTTATAGTTTTCTGAAGGGTATTGATTTATTTGTTTTAGCAGGCAATTATTTATACTCAAATTTAAAACTATCCCTTGGGTAGCAGCTCGAATCTCAGTTCAGTTCTTTTATCTTTGTGATAATTTGTGTCTGCTCCATCAAGAATATACACATGACATATACCTCAGAATTACATGACGTGATCTCACTTGGAATTTTATCAAGTGCATATTCATCTACAATTCCTACTTCTTCTTAATATAATGATTTACTATCATGAAATGTTCTCCTTCATCTCTGGTAACTCTTTTTGTCTGAAAGTTTAGTTTGTCTCATATTAATAAATTCAAGGGTCAACCAGAAATTTGGGTAGTGTTTATATACAGATTTGGGAGCTTCCCCTCTCTGCCTCTCTTCTTTCCAAGATTCTGAATTCATTTTCCTGTGGCTATGATTGCCCTGAACCCTGTTCTTTGGGTCTTCAAACCAAAAACACTGTGAGTTTTCTATTGGAGGATGGCCACCCGAAATGACATTAATTTTAGCCTGTTCTCACTCTAAAAGTTGTAAAATGGGAAACTCACTCTGGACCGATCTGTGCTTCCAAGTTTTGAATTTCAGCTCCCCTCCAGAATCTGTCTGCTTATTTTTATTCTCTAATGCTTCCAGGTAATTTCTTTTTTCTTTTCTTTTTTCTTTTCTTTTTTTTTTTTTTGTTTTTGGTCTTTTGGTACTTTATAGTTGATATCTGTGAGAATTTCAGATCCAGTAGAACTTACTTAGCCATATTGGAAATGGAAACAAGTAAAAACATTTAGGAAACATTCCTTTGCATTTCCTAACACCTCTCCTCAAAATACTTAACCTCCGTCCATTCCCTCATTTAGTGACATTTGAGTTTGGTTTTAAGTAGAAATAGAAGCCAGGCTCAGGGCTTCCTTGATCATCTTGCCAAGTACATGAGAAGACTTGGAATGAAAACACAGCATAAAGTTAAATGATAGAATGATAGAACATCAATCAATTCTAGCTCTTAGACTGGTGGCATTTAATCTCAAAGCAATGAGGCTTATACAGAATCATGACTACCAGTGATTATCTACATGGTACTTTGCCACGTTATTTTACCTTATTTCTTTGGTCTCAGATATCTCTAAATCCTGCCTCATTGAAAACTGCAATAGATAATATGCCACGAGAAACAGAATACTGAAAATCCTAAAATGCCAACCCAGAGTTGGTAATTGCACAATTCCTTCTAATCATAATCATTATGGCTTCCACTTCTTGAAAGCTTCTGTATACCAGCCACCTTGCTAACCACTTTACATTAATTGTCAGTTAATCCTTCACAACTATTCTTTGAGCAGTTCCCATAACTAGCTTCATTTTACGGAGGAAGTAACCAGAGTTCCGAGAGGTTGAGTTCACTAAGAGCACACAGCAAACAGTAGAACTCTGAGTCAGTCTTTGTAAAGAGAAGAAATAGCAAAGGGGTTTTGGAGACATCAGGCACATACTCTTTACTATTAGGAGAGAAAATAGAAGTCTTTCTAGGAGTAAGTAGGGTTTCTAAAACTTAAATAGTCTACAGTCCTTTTTGTCAGTAATTATTGATATTAAAATGCCACCCTTCCAGAAACAATATATTTTATATTGACAGCTTTTATGTTTAAAAAGAACCTTCTAGCCGGGAGTGATGGCTCACACCTGTAATCCCTGCACTTTGGGTGGCTGAGGTGGGTGGATCACTTGAGGTCAGGGGTTCAAGACCAGCCTGGCCAACACGGTAAAACCCCATCTCTACTAAAAATACAAAAATTAGGTGGGCCTGGTGGCGGGCGCTTGTAATCCCAGCTACTTGGGAGGCTGAGGCACAAAAATTGCTTAAACCCAGGAGGTAGAGGTTGCGGTTAGCTGAGATCACACCATTGTACTCCAGCCTGGGCGACAGCGAGACTCCATTTCAAAAAAGAAAGCCCTCCTTCAGGGCTTAAAACACTAACCCAAACAATAACAAAAGGATCAAATAATTATATGTAAAGGCTCATATGAAAAGGCACATAACACCAGTGCTCCATTTTACCTCATTTCATTTACTGCCTTTAAACTTTGTTTTCCAGGTAAACCATCTAAACAGGCAGGTGACCTGCCAGAGAAAAATCTGGCACATTAGGAAGTAAAGATGCCTGCCTCATCCCACAACAAGATGCAGCAATGTCTCACAGTTCTACAACTCTAGGGGCAATCCTGCCCAACTTTGCAAATTTTGCATAAACCGTGGGTTTCAAGTGACTTTGGAATGAGAGGGAAAGGGAAGGCAGCACGAAGGATAAGCTGGCTGACATTGTAAAGTGGATACAGGAAACTGGGACTTAACCGGAAGCAGGAAAAGGAATACAGTATCTTTGTGTTCTGGTACATAGGATTATTCAATATACATATTTATTATACATGTTAAATTGTCTGAGACCCGGAAATGAGAGATACTGTTAAAGGAGTAAAGATGAGATGAGGTAACAGAAAAGGAGAGGAGTAAATATGAGTCCTAAGGAGGGGTTACATGAGCACAGTCCCCTGACGACATGCTAGAGATTACCAGATTAGTGCATTGCTCCTACTTTCTTGCTATTATTATTATTATTATGGGGTTTTTTTGGCAGGGTCTCACTCTGTCGCCTAGGCTGGAGTGCAATGGCATGATCTTAGCTCACTGCAACCTCCACCTCCCAGGTTCAAGTGATTCTCCTGCCTCAGCCTCCTGAGTAGCTGGGATTACAGACACCTGCTACCACATCCGGCTAATTTTTGGATTTTTGGTAGAGATGAGGTTTCACCATGTTGGCCAGGCTGGTCTCAAACTCCTGACCTCAAGTGATCCACCTACCTCGGCCTCCCAAAGTGCTGGGATTACAGGCCCTTTGCTGCTATTTTTAAAAATACATATTCAACATATCCGGTGAAATCATTCAAAGATGCATACAGATAAGTGATTATTTTACTCTAACGTAAAGCCTCTTTGTAAGACCTACCCTTCACTGTCTGTCCCAGCATATGCCCTAGGACTTCCTCTGACCATGAACAGTACCATGCCACTGAAGGAGATCTGTTTCAACAGAGCCTCCTCCTGCTGCTCCTAACTTTATTTCCATTCCACTAGCATTCTCAAAGTCATGCAAAACATAACAACCTGACTTTGTAACTGTTTAACCTTACTTTTTACACGTAAAAATTATTAAATATGTGTAACTGCTGGGGGGAGGATAATATAATGGCATGTCAGTCAGGTAACAGGTAAGCTACATTTCATGGAAAAGAAGGGGAATGCTTTCTTCAGAAAGTGAAGTCATCATTCTTTTATTTAACTGACATAATATTTATACCCCAATTTTTAAAATGGCAGCTACAAATAGAAGTCGAAAGAGGGTAAATTCTCCAAGGGAATCTAGCCCTGAAATTTTACCATTTTAAAAGTTCTATTTTACAAGTACATAGGAACATTACTACTATTATAAGGATACTCACAGCAGGTCAATTATTTCAAACTCTTTGAAAAAAAAATCAAAATTAAGTAAACCTACCTTTCAGAAGACTGCTACCTCTTCGGAGTCCTCAGTGGCAGGATGCACAGAGCTTTTATAGAGGGTCTAAGCAGGCAGGTATTCCTAGGATACCTACACCAAGGACAAGAAATTCAGATGATTATTTCAGCAGTGATCCAGATGGCTCTAGGTACAATTTCATTAGGAACGTTCACCATGAATACTGAGCATTGCCACACAGGTATTGTTAAAAGGGCAGAATGAAGGTACATATGTGATTTTTGCAGGCATTGTCATTAATCTGTACATTGGAGACTGTGGCTCAAAAGGGTGTAAGTGGTTCATACATGATCACACAAGAAAAGGGGCAGAACCATGCCTTAATTATTCATTTCTGATTCCTAGTCCAGGGTTGTTTCAGCCACATCATCTGATCCTCCTCAAGAACTGGAAAGTCCTGGCACTGGGGCTTTCCATTTTGCAAAAAGATGAGGCTGACCCGTGAGTCTGGTGGGAAGAGTCTTTCTCTGGTTTTCTGGTGGTCTATGCCAAGTCACCTGTCTGAAGTGTCCTGTGTGGCCAGTTTACTCACTTTCCCTTGAAACTCTGGTGTCCACAGAATCTGAAGGAATCTGACAAGCAAAGAAACATGGGTTTTTTTGGTCCCACTGGCCTGAGTTTGAATCCTAGTAATGTGTTTACTACTTCTGTATCCTATGTAGCTGCTCAACATCACTGAGGCTCACTTTCTATCTCTATCAAACGGGTATAATAATATTTGAAGGGTACATTTATGAAGAGGATTTTTTTTTTCTAAATGAGAATAAAGTACCAAGTACAGTTTCTGGCACATGTTAGATGCTAGGGCAAAGTGAAAGCCCCATGACCCACCTTACTTGCAGGGATAACCCCAAAGTGGACAAGTGACAGGGAGGCTATTGAGACCTTGCTGCTCATAAATCACTCAATGACAATGCACTAATCCCCTAACTGGCTGGTTCCTCACTGCTCTGACCTCTACCTCTGGGTTTCCTTCATGTACACTTCTTTGAAATAAAAATATCATAAACACCAATTCATTCCCTAGGATCTCATTTAGAGGTAATCGTTTCCTTTTTTAATCTAATAATCTTGGTCTACATCATGTTACATGGTCAGCTCAATGTAGTAATTGAAAGCAGATGATCATTCATTTAACAAGTATTTATTGAGACTCTACTAAGGTGTCAGGCACTATTCTCTATAGCAGTGAACATAATAGTCCAAGATCAGGCCATCATGCTGCCTACCTTCTGGTAGAGGAGACAAACAAACAAAATACATATGTAAAATACATGAGTGGTTAAATAGTTCTAAGGACTCTGGAGAAACACAAAGTAGGAAGGGAGATGGTGAGTACTATGGGTTGAATTCTGTTCCCCCAACCCCTCCCCATCAGGAAAAAAGATATGTTGAAGTCCTAACCCTCAGTACTTAGAATGTGACCTTATTTGGTAATAGGATTGATACAGATATAATTATTTAAGTTAAGATGAAGTCATACTGGAGATCGGTGGGCAGGCCTCTCATCCAATATGATTGGATATAAGAGGATGACCACGTGAAGACACAGAGACACACGGGAGAAGGAACGCCATGTGAGAATAAAGGCAGAGATTGGAGTTATGTAGCTGCAAGCCAAGGATTGCCAGCAAATCACTAGAAGTTAGGAAAAGGCAAAGAAAGATTCCCCTGCAGATTTTAGAGGGAGCATGGCCCTGGTGACACTTTGATTTCAGACTTGTAGCCTCCAGAACTATGAGACAATAAATTTCGGTTGTTTTAAGCCACTCAGTATATGGTACTTAGTTACTGCCACCCTAGGAAATCAATACAGTGTGTTTGGGGAGATTGTTGCATTTTTGAGCAAGGAGATCAGGAAAGATCTCACTGAAAAGGTAATGTCTCAGGGAAGATTTGAGGTGCAGGGGACAACCATGATGATGGCTCTGGATGAAGAAATTCTAGGCAGAGGGAACAGAAAGTACAAACCTCCCAGGCAGGTGCATGTTTGTATGTTAGAACAGCAGGGAGGCCAGTATGGCTGGAATAGCCAGGGGAGAGTGGCAGGAAACCAGGTCAGAGTGATGACAAGGAGCTGGAGGGTGCTAGACCTTATGGGCCACTCTAAGAACTTAGGCTTTTACTTGGAGCAAGGTGGGAAGCCATTGCCTACTTCTGAGCAGAGGTGAACCAAGATCTGACTTACATTTTAATAAGCTCTCTCTGGCTATTCGGTAAGAATAAACTGAAGAACAAGGCCACTTAGGAGGCTCCTGCAGTTATCCTGGTGAATAAAGGTGCTAGCCAGGTAGCACACAGGAGAGTGAAAACTGGTCAGTCCTATGCGAAATATTTTGAAAGCAGATCCAAAAGGATTTGCAATAGATTGCAGGTAGAGATACGCCTGACTTCTTGATAGTACATAGAATTAAATTAGAAACCGTAACAACTTAACTGTACTGATCATCTGAATAAATTATCTTCTCAAATGCCAGACCAGCCAAAGATATTAGCAACAGGTTTAACAGACAGGGAATAAGTAACCAGAATATATAAGGAACTCCTAAAATCAACAAAAAGAAAAAGGTAAACAAATAAATATTTTTTAAAATCATGATTCAAAGAAGGAACAATGGACCATGGACATAAGAAAAGCAGCTCAACCTCACTGATATGGTTTGGCTGTGTCCCCACCCAAGTCTCACCTTGAATTGTAACTCCCACAATTCCCATGTGTCATGGGAGGAACCTGGTGGGAGGTAATTGAATCATGGGGGTGGGTCTCTCCCATGCTGTTCTCATGAGAGTGAATAAGTCTCGAGAGATCTGATGGTTTAAAACATGGGAGTCTCTCTGCACAAGCTCTCTATTTGTCTGCTGCCATCCCTGTAAGATGTGACTTGCTCCTCCTTGCCTTCCACCATGATTGTGAGGCCACCCCAGCTACACGGAACTGTAAGTCCATTAAACTTCTTTCTGTTGTAAATTGCCCAATCTCCAGTATGTCTTTATCAGCAGCATGAAAACTGACTAATACTCTCACTAAACATGAGGAAAATGCAAATGAAAATAATGGGATTCTACTTTATTTCTATCAGACTAGTTAACATGAAAAAGACTGACACAATTCAGTGTTGTCCAAGATATGAGAAAAAATAGCATATTATTCTAGTTTACTTCCAGCGGAATCATGAATTGGTATATTATTCTATTGAGCAATTTTACTGTATTATCAAAAGTGACAGTACACATATGCCACGGCATAGTAACTCTTCTTGGGGGGTATACCAGGGCTAAGAAACATACACATAAGGGGACATATATTAAATCAGTATAACAAAACTTGGAAATGACCTAAAAGTCACCCTTAAAGGCAAATCAGTAAATAAAATATGCTATATTTATATGATTAAAGGACATATGGCTGTTAAAAAGAATAGATTGGTTTTATAGGCATCAGTGTGGATGTTTCATAAATGTCATGGGCAGAAAAGCAACACAAAGGAAAATGTTAACATACAAACACAATAGTATGTATTCATTATAGGTCGGGGTCCCCAACCGCCAGGCGGCAGACCAGTACCAGTCTGTGGCCTGTTAGGGACCAGGCCACACAGCAGGAGGTGAGTGGTGGGCAAGCGAGCATTACCGCCTGAGCTCCACCTCCTGTCAGATCAGCAGGGACATTAGGTTCTCATAGGAGCAGGAACCCTAGTGTGAACTGTGCATGCGAGGGATCTAGGCTGCCTGCTCCTTATGATGAGACCCTAACGCCTGATGATCTGAGGTGGAACAGTTTCATCCCAAAACCATACCCCCCACCTCCCCATCCATGGAAAAATTATCTTCCACAAAACCAGTCCCTGGTGCCAAAAAGTTGGGGACTGCTGCTGTGGATACACATATATGTATGTAAAAGTATAAACAACGGACTAGTCAAATACATCCCAAATTTATGGTAGGGAATTTTAGGCAGGGGTACAGGCAGCAAAGAAAGTGGAGGGTGGAGGGAAGGACAGGACATTATTGGTGAAAATGATTTGGTTTTATCAATAACTTCTTTAAAAAGGAAAAAAACAACACTGGAAGCAAATCTGACCAAACAAAAACGGATACTCGTTTTGGGATAGTGAGAGTACAGATGATCATTACACTAGTTTTTGTGCTCATCTGTGCTTTTTTGTTTTCTGCGAGTAAAGAAAGGAGGAAAGGGAGGGAGGGATGAATGGATGGAAGGAAGGAAGGAAGGAAGGAAGGAAGGAAGGAAGGAAGGAAGGAAGGAAGGAAGGAAAGAAGGAAGGAAGGGAGTTACCAGTTCTGGACTGCACTTAAGCTAATCGCTAATCATAGATGGGGATAGATGAGGTTAGTTTTTTTGTTTTGTTTTGTTTTGTTTTGTTTTGTTTTGTTTTGTTTTGTTTTGAGATGGACTTTCACACTTGTTGCCCAGGCTGAAGTGCAATGGCACAATCTCGGCTCACTGCAATCTCTGCCTCCCAGGTTCAAGCGATTCTCCTGCCTCAGCCTCCCAAGTAGCTGGGATTATAGGCACGCACCACTACGCCTGGCTAATTTTGTATTTTTAGTAGAGACGGGGTTTCTCCATGTTGGTCAGGCTGGTCGAGGTTAGTTTTTTAAGGATGAAACTCAAAACTATGTTTTAATAATCAGCGTGACCATTGGTGATTCCTAGCAGACTGTCTCAGCGTGGAGGGCTGAATTTCAGTTCAGCCCGCAGAGGGAACCATCTGTCATTTGGAATGACAAGGAGCTCTCTGCCAGGGGAACACCAGAACACCGGAAGCAGCCATGGTCTTCACTGCATCCCCACTGGCCCTGGAACCACCAACACTACAGGACACAGGAACACACATTTACAGACAAAGTAAACCAAGGGTACACCATGGACATCTTTTCAACCTTTTTAAAAGCACATTGCAATTTTCTAGAATCAAGGGAACAATATGCTTGATTAGTTCTTCAGCAGATTTCGCAATTTTGCTTGTCATATTTCTCTCTTTAAAGCAAGTTGGTCATTAACCTTCCATGTTCTAGGACTTGAGATTAGGTTTTCCCCCCACAAAAAGAAAACTTTGCTTAAAAAAAAAAGAGTTTGCTTTAGGATAATTCATTTTTGCTGCTAATAACTGCAAGATCCTCTTTGAGCCAAGGAGGTCATTCTTGAAAGGGGCTAGAATTGTGAAGAATGTTCCTTCTCTTCCTGGAGAGAGAGTCTGTGAAGGCAAAAAAGTTTGCAGGAAAGTTCAGTAATCATGAAGTGAAAGCCCAAAGTGACCTGAATACTTCCTCCTGGGTCAATATTGTATGTTTAAAAAGAAACAACCAAACCTTCAAAGAAAAATCTGGCCATCCCCAAATCCCAATACATGAAACTAGAAGGCAGGAGGCACCAGTAGAATGCTGGCTTTGCTCTCATTGCTTGGCCTCCATCACAGTTACAATAGTTGCATATCATCCTTTTGTACGTGTCATCCTAAAAATGGGATTTGGATTGGTTTCTAACAATAAAACGAGCAAGGTAGAAAAGGAATATTATGAATAAGTTACCAATGTAAATATGCTATTTTGCGCCTTTGAATTTGAGTGTTGATAAACATGATTCCACACATGGAAATTAGACTTTTCAGAGCTACTACACTGAATCATTTAATTTGTCTGAGTAAGTACTTATAATAATGTGGCTGCTCTGCACTGCAATAAACATCGGGTTTTCAAATGAACAAATGAAGTATGTGATACTCCTTATAAATGGAACTGCAGCAAAGGGCGTTCAGCTAGGGAGCTGTGCACTAAAATGGGATGGGTGATAAGAACATCTCTCTCCAGCTCCACTGATAGTGAAAGGAAAGAATCATATGGCCTCTGCTGCTACATTTTCTGTTCCTGGACAGAAGCAAGGCTGAAGCCTCACTGTGAAATGATGGGGGACTGTTGCTATTTTGGGTTGTCACAGGGTAACTTGTCACACTACTCAGGACACATGAGGACAGATAATTCTGTTCCTCCAGATTGTGGACTTGAGAATGCTTTAGTAAAATAGCACAGGGATATATTTTGGATAGTGGTTAAGGACATGGGTTTGAATCCTGGGCTCTACCAACCAAATAGGTGCATGATTGTACCCAAGTAATCATCAGTCTTCTCCATGCTCATTTTCCTATTTGGTAAAATAAGGATAATAACTTTGGCTTCCTCATTAAGTTATTAGGGGGATTCAGTGAGATAATTTATGTAAAGAACCTGGCACATGATTAGAATTCACCTTTTTTAACATTATCATTTTAACATTATCATCACATTTTTAACATTATCATTCACCTTTTTTAACATTAACATAACCATTTTAACATTATCATTATATATGTCATCATTATTATTATATTTAACCTTACTTTCATTTTAATCCATTATTCAATTTTCCTTCAACGCTCATTAAAAGCACAACTCACTACATTGTTTAGTAATTAATTACTTTTGTTCATTTAACAAAGTATTTATACTTTGTTATATGTGCCAGGCACATATGCTAGGGGCTAGGGTACATAGGTGATCTAATCCTCCTGGAAGCTATTAGAGGAGATGGGCATGAGTCAAAGGCTCCCATAGGAAGTGAAACCTTTGAAACTCAGGGAACAGGTCTAAAAGAAAGGAGCAGGCTAGGCATGGTGGCTCATGCCTGTAATCCCAGCACGTTGGGAGGTGAGGTGAGTTGATCACCTGAGGTCAGGAGTTTGAGACCAGCCTGACCAACATGGCAAAAACCCATCTCTACTAAAAATACAAAAATTAGCCAGGCATGGTGGCGGGTGCCTGTAATCCCAGCCACTTGGGAGACTGAGGCAGGAGATTCAGTTCAACCCGGGAGGCAGAGGTTGCAGTGAGCCGAGATGGTGCCACTGAACTCCAGCCTGGGCAACAAAAGTGAAATGCTGTCTCAAAACAAACAAATAAACAAACAAAAACAAAGGAGCAGATCACTCTAAGAGATACTAAAACAAAGGAACTTAAATTAAACCTGAGACCTGAAGGATGAGAAGGAGAACAAGGGATGGAATGATGGCTTTCTTGAGAGAAACACAACAATATTCAAAGGCATGGAGTATACAGCACTTTATCATTGTTATCAAAAGTCATTGCAAAATGATCTACTGAATAGCTCAATTAAATCTAACAACTATGTGACAAGCACCTACTATGAGCCAAGCGCAGTGCCAAACTCTAGAAACACCATAGTAAAGACAGATATGATCCATGCCTGCATCCTTACCTCCCAACACCTACTACTATGTTTGAAAACCACACCAAAGTCAATATTTACTTTGTAACCAATAAATTACCCCTCTGGGTTTGATCACAGAGAGATTTCACCTGCATGGAAAAACTGGAATGCTTTCTCTGGTCAGACAAGGAATGTTACATATGCCAAATAATTCCCTTTCTTCTTAGTTGCTGGATATCTACAACCAAATTTAGTTTATTCCATGGGCCTACCAACTTATACTACTAAAGATGGCCATGTTTCTCTTTCATGATTAATTGTTCTATTATTTGTAGACTACCTTTAATTTAGTAAACAGCCTCAGCCTCAAATTATTTGGAAAGTTATTAGAAGAGGAGAAAAAAGTAAAAGAAAACAAGGAAAAGAGATCTCAAGTTTCTTGAGATCTGGGAATTGTCCAATGTGCTTTCTGTAGTATTCGTGGTACCTAACATGGTGCTGGATGGAAAGCATTTAATAACTTCTGATTGTCAGATGGATGAAGAATATAAAGCTTTCCTGGTTCAACTTGGGCTCCATTAGAAGGAGGGAAGAACTGAAACTCGGTAGATCAGAATATGCCTCCCCACAACATCCTTCTTTAGCATAAGGATTATTTTGAGCTGATTATTTTGAGAGACTGCAGCTACAGGAGAAGATCTGAAAACAGAAGAGAAGTTACCTTTTTGTAAAAGGATTTTACATCTATAAAGGAAATTTCTACTCATAAGGGTGTCTCCCTTTCTGTACCAGGAAGAGAAGGATGACCAAATCACTAGAGACTCTTACCAATGGAGAAGACACCAACTTAAATCTGCATAACAAACCTTACTCATGTTTACCATACTTTTCCTGGGCATCCCTCCACAACTGACTATCCCCCATACCCTTCTTTTTTTTCTTTCAGTGGACAATGGTATTTGAGCCTGATCTCAAAGCCACCTCTTTGAGATTTATTCATATCTCTGGGTATCTTCCACGTGTACATGAGATACACATATTTTTAACTTCTGTTTGTTTTTCTCTTGTTTCTGGGTCTATCCCAACCTAAGGACCATAAAGGGTAAAGAGAAAATTATTTTTCCTTCCCTACACTTACTTTTCTGTAGTCTCCAGGTTCAGAGGAAAGAACTCAAAAAAGTGGCTGAAAAGTTTAGCATGATTTTCATTGTAAAGCAGCCCAATAACCAAACAGAAGCACCACATAAACCAAAAGAAGAGAGTGGTAAGTGAAATATAAGGTACCATTAGAGATTTCTCTCAGGGAATAAGATTCTTGTAACAAAATATTTACCTTTCTTATTCTGGTGCTAGTAAAAATAAGAGAAATGTCACAATTTTAATTAATGTCTAAGCAACAGGGAAAAATATTAAGCTACTTTATGACAAAATGGAAATATATTTGTAATTCTATATCCTAATGTTCTCTCAGTTATTTTGGAAAAACTATTAGTCCTTTGGTCTCTTCTACATTAGGAGAGCAAAAAGCTATAATATGGCCTATCTGGCTAACTATCGGGAATCGGAGAAATCAATTTAAAAGAAATTTGGAAGACACCTACATTATCGATATTAGAGCAAAGTAGAGATCTGCCTTGTTCACAGCAAAGCAATCCAATTCACACACACACACACAAAACAAATGTTGCATTTATGGAAGTATTAAAACATCTCATCCTTGTCCTTAGCTTAACATATTAATGAGAATTTCTGAATTAATCTCCAATCGTGAACTGTGTCTAGGTGTGATATAAGGGCAGTAAATACTGTGCAGCTTGCTTCAGGCATGTTTTATGACAGATTCTCTGACAGATAGAAAATCTTTAAGATTAAATTATTTCTGTATTTTCCTAAGAAACTCATCAGTACTAACAACCATACCACTTCCCCAACTAGTTGATAAACAGAAAAGAAAATATTATTAAGTGATGGCACTTGAGGAAATAGTTAAAAGGAGAAACTCAGAACATAAGATTGTGATTATATATAATGAGGAGATTCTCAAAATGGCACAGAAAGGAAAGGAACGAGTTGAAGCTGAAAAACATATGTTTTTAGGAGGTAAGTTATTCCATAAAGCAATTACTAAAATGTGAGAGTTCTTCTCATGGTTCTCAACCTTATACTCTGAAAGAGAACTTCTTATAATGCAAGACTAAGAGAGCCAATTACTTCAGCACCAAGGTACATCCTAAATCTCTGGACTTGGCAGTTCAAAAAAACTCTTGGAAAATGTTCTTCTAAAATCTTCACTAACAGCCCTGACTTTAGAAATGTAGACTCTAAAAGGATGAATAAAAACTAACCAATTAGATAGCAAAATGGAGAAGAGAGAGCACTGAATAAAAAGACCTGCCAGAGTTCGGGTTGTACCTCTGCCACCAGCTTCAGACTTAGTTCATATTTACAATAAAACCATAATCATAAAAATTAATAATTATGGAACACTTAGTATGCCAATAACTTTTCATATATTATCTAATTTAATCATCCTAACAACCTATGAGGGAGACACCACATAAGAGAAAAGCAGTTGAAGAGTTTGTCCAAGACCACCCAGCTGCTCTGAGTGATGGGTTAGGATTCAAACACGATTTTTTTGGACCCCAGAGCCCAACCCTTAACCACTCACTCTGCAGAATAGTTCAGAAACCTCCTAGGATGATCTAAAAGGCTTCTTTCAGCAATAGGGCGCTAAGATTTATGAGACATGATTGTATAATGGAAAAAAATCTCAGGTTTTTGAAGTGACTTTGTAGCCCAGTTGAGCAGCTTCTTCTCTAAGCCTCAGAATCTTAGATAACAACACTACTTACCTTACAAGCTGGCCTAAGGATCAGAGATAATACTAGAGCCCTTAGCCCCAAGTAATAATAATAATAATAGGCAGCATTTATATAATGCTCATTATGTGCTGGGCACCATCTAAACATTTTTTTCCCCACATTAAAGTATGCAATCTTCACAATGACCTTAAAAGTACTATTATTTTGTACTTTTTATCTAATTGTATAAGAATACAATTAGATAAAAAGAAAAAAAAAGAGTTCTATTGTTTTGATTCCTGTTTTACCAATGAGGAAACAGAGGCAAAGAGAGTTAAATTACTTGACCTAAATCACAGTTACTAAGTTGCAGATCTTGGATTCTGATCCAGACAGAATGACTCACTGGACAACCCAAAACATATTGGAGGCACTCCTACTGATACATAAAGAACCTCCTTGCCATGCCCAATGTCTGTGTCACTCTCACCCAAAGTAACAAATTTAACATAAACTTGGGAGGATGAAATACATAGGGATGCCCAGATAACCTGCCTACTGTCATTCCGCAGATTGTGCCTTTAAAAAAACCAATTTCAATAGAAACCAGCAAGAAAGAGATACATCAGGTATGTCAGACATACGTGGTCACAACTATTTTTTCTCCTTCCTGGCTAATCACTCCCTTTGTGTTGATAATGTGCTGCTTTAAATCAATTCATAAAAAAAAAAAAAAGCACAGAGGCACCATAAAAGTCGTTTTTCCTGTTTTCAATCTGGAAGAAATTCAGTCTCTTATTCATTTTAAAAACTATTTTAATAATAGCTTTTACTTAACCCAATATATCAAAAATATTATTTCAACATGTTAATAAAAGTTAATAAGAGATTTTACGCTAAGCATTCAAAATTCAGAGTGTACTTTACATTTAAGGCCCATCTCAAATCAGACTAACCTGATTAGTCTGAATGCTCAGTAGCCATATATGTTGCTAGTGGCTACCATATTAGACAACACAGTTCTAGAAAGATTGGCTTAGAAAAGCCCTGGTTGTTGATATTTATAGGTCTCTTTCCTTGGGCTGGTCAAATTCCCCAGAAAGATATCTTTCAATCTCCTGCCTTAGGGGTATAAGCCTGGGTGCCATTGTTCTGAGATTTAAGTATGGGAAAGAGCAGAAGCCCCATCATATTGTCTTTCACTTAAGCCCCGATTTTCATCATTATACCCATCCTCAGCTATGCATGGTGACTCCAATCACGAGCCCTGTAGTTGGTCCAACCCCTCCAGTCTTCCTCCTGGGGAAGTAGGGAGGGAGGCAGTTGGGAGAGGCAGTTCCCAGGCTATGCGGATTGGGCAAGAACTCTGGGGACTGATTAGCAGTTATTTGTCATTCTTTCAATGTTCTTTTAATATTCCTTCATTCCCACTTTCATACATTTACAGTGCCATGAATTCCTGACACGTTCTAGAATCTCAGTTTAGATTTTACCGTTTCTCTCCCCTTTTAAATCAGTCCCTGGCCTTTTAAGGCAGCTTCTACAATTGTATTCTGTGACCTTCTCCTCTATGATTTTTGTTCATATTCCCCTCCCCTTTTTTAACTAACATTTTTTATTTGAAATAATTGTAGACTCACATGAAGGTTGTAAGAAAAAATACAGAGAAGGTCCATATGCCCTTTATCCAATTCCCTTCAATGGTAACATCTTGGAAAGCTATTACACAGTAACACAACCAAGATATTGACAATGACACATTCAAAACACAGAATGTGTCCATCCCAGGGATCCTCTTGTTGCTCTTTAATAGCCACACCCACTTCCCTCCCACTCCACCCCTTCTTAACTTTTAACCACAAATCTGTACTCCATTTATATAATTTTTTCATTTGAAAAATGTTATACAAGTGGAGTCGTACAGTGTGTAATCTTTTGGTTTTGTGTTTTTTTCCCCTTTAATCTATTCCCTGAAGATTCAGTCAAGTAGTTTCATGTATTAATAATTCATTGCTGAGTAGTATTCGATGGTATGGATGGACCACAGTTTGCTTAACCATTCACCCAATAAAGGACATCTGAGTTGTGTCCAGTTTGGGGCTATTACAGATAAAGCTCTATGAAAATTCATGTATGGGCTTTGGTGTGAACATAAGCTTTTGTTTACTTGGGATAAATGCCCAGGAGTATGATAAGTGCATGTTTAATTTTGTAAGAAACTGCCAAACCATTTTCTAGAGTGGCTATAACATTTTACATTCTCACCAGTAACACAATTTCTCTGCATCCTCACCAGAATTTGTTGTTATCATTATCTTTTATTTTAGTTATTTCAATATGTTCATAGTGATAACTCATTGTGGTTTTGATTTGCATTTCCCTGATGGTTAATAATGTTGAACATCTTTTCATGTGCTTATTTGCCATCTGTATAACCTCTTCAGTAAAATGTCTGGCCATGTATTTTCTAATTGAGTTGCTTGGATTTTTTTACTGTTGAGTTTGAAAATTCTTTATATATTCTAAATACTAGTCCTTTGTCAGATATGTAGTTTGCAAATATTTTCTTCCAGCCTGTAGTTATTCTTTTCATTCTCTTAAAAGGGTCTTAGGCCGGGCGTGGTGGCTCACACCTGTAATACCAGCATTTGGGAGGCCGAGGAGGGTGGATCTTTTGAGGTCAGGAGTTTGAGACCTGGCCAACACGGCAAAAGCCAGTCTCAACTAAAAAGAAAAAAAAAATACAAAACTTAGCCAGCCACAGTGGCATGCACCTGTAGTCCCAGCTATTCCAGAGCCTCAGGCAGGAGAATTGCTTGAACCTGGGAGGCAGAAGTTGCAGTGAGCCGAGATCGTGCCACTGCCCTCCAGCTTGGGGAACTGAGTGAGACACTGTCTCAAAAAAGAAAAGAAAAGAAAAAAAAAAAAAAAAACTCTTTCACGGTGCAAAAGCAAAAGTTTTAATTCTGATATAGTCCAATATATCACCAATATATCATTTGTTTCCTGTTATGGATTGTGTTTATGTGAAATCTAAGAACTCTTTCCCTAGCCAGAGATTCCAAAGATTTTTCTCTAATGCCTTCTCCTTCTAAAAGAAGGGTTCTTTATTCTGTTCCGTTGATCTATGTTTCTGTCACTCCATGGATAGCCACATAGTAACTATGCAATACTTCTTGAAACTGGGTAGACTGATTGCTCCCACTTTATTATTTCTTTTTCAAAATTGTTTTAGCTACTCTAGTTCCTTTGTTTCTGTATAAATTTTAGAATAATGTCATCTATATATGAAAAAATCATACTGAGATTTTTGATAGGAACTGCTTTAAACCTGTATATCAATTTGGGAAGTATCGGTATCTTTACTACGCTGTGACTTTCAAATCATGAACACAACATTTTTCTCCATTTATTTACATTTTTAAAATTTATTTCATCAACATTATATAGTTTTCAACAAACAAGTTTTATAAATGTTTTATTGGATTCACATAAGTATTTCATATTTTTGAGCTAAGGCAAATTGTACTATATTTTTAAAATTTGTGTCCACAGATTCATTGCTAGTACAAAGAAATACAATTGATAATTTAAATGTCTATCTCATATCCTGCCACCTTAATGAACTCAATTATTAGTTTTTCATTTGTTTGCTTGAGATAGGGTCTCACTCTGCCACCCAGGTTGGAGTGCAGTGGCACACAGGTATTGGCACAAACACAACCTTCTATAGCCTCAACCTCCTGAGCTCCAGCCATCCTCCTGCCTCAGCCTCCTAAGTAGCTGGGATGACAGGCATACACCACCAGGCCTGGTTCATTTGTTGTTGTTGAGGAGAGATGAGGTCTCTCCATATTTCCCAGGCTGGTCTTGAACTAGGCTCCAGCAATCCACCTGCCTCGGCCTCCCATCGTGTTGGGATGACAGTCATCAGTCACTACACCCAGCCACTTACTAGTTTTAAGAGTTGGTTTTGTGTTTTTTCGTCTTTGTAGATCACTTAGTGTTTTCTGTGTAGAAAATCATGACATCAGCAAATATTAACAGTTTTCTTTCTTTCCATCTGTATGCCTTTCATTTCCCTTTCTTGCCTTATTGCATTGATTAGAACTTCCTGCACTATGTTGAATAGGAGTGGTGGAACCAGCCTTGCACTGCTGGACTAGACTCCATTTCGTCGTGGTATATTATTCTTTTAGCCTGAATCCTGTTTGTTAATATTTTGTTCAGGATTGTTGTGTCTCTATTTATGACAGTTATTGGTATATATTTCTCTTTTTTGCACTGTTTTTTCTGTTTTTCATATCTGAGTAATACCAGCTTCCTAAAATGAATTGCGAAGTGTTCTCTCCTATTTTCTGGAAGAGACTGTATAAAACTCCTATTAATTATTCTTTAAATGTTTGGTAAAATTCTCCAGTGAGGCCATCTGGGCCTAAATATTTATTTTCAGGGAGTTTTTAAATGATTAATTCAATTTTTAATAGTTATGGGCTTTTAAATATTATCTATTTCATGATAGGTGAATGGTAGGAATTTGTGTTTTTGAGGAAGTGGCCCATTTCATCTAAGTTATCAAATTTATGTGTGTAGAGTTGTTCATGGCATTTCTTTATTATCCTTTTGATGTCTACAGGGTCAATAGTGATATCTCCTCTTTCATTCCTGATATTGTAACCAAATGCAGGTCCAGATGCCCACTGTTTACAGAGTCCAGTTAACAAGAGTGAGGTCTAGTAGAAAGAAAGTCATTTTACTAAAACCAGTAAAGGGGAAATGGTCAGATTCCCGCCCAAAGCAATCACTTTGATTTTGGGGGAAGGCAGGGGTTTAAAAAGGGAAAACTTGATAAGGAAGGCATGCAAGAATTGTACTAAGTATAATATCTGTGTGTCTTGTTCTGGTAGCTATCTTGGGTCTCAGTCTACCTGGATGGTGAGTCAAGACATCTGGGAATATCTTTACTTCCCCTTTATTCCTGAGGATATTTTCACGGGCTGTAGGACACTGCTTTGATTGTTGATTATTATTTCATTCAGGACTTTGAATGCTTTAAGTTCCTGAGCAGCCATGGCCAGGTTTTTAACTAGCCACTTTGAAGTAATCTCTGGAATTTTGCAGCTGGGTCTCCAAGCTTATTCCGCCTGTCTCAAGATTAGCCCCTGGAACTTCTAAGAAGGCACAGTAATTAGATACTAGTATATACTTAGACAAATGTGAAGGGAGTATATATGGTGAAAAAGGGAGGGACGTGGAGCCTATTTCTAGGCTGAGGAAAAGGCTTCTGCAGTTTTTCAAGGTTGTATCTTGAAAACCAAGAGAAGAGAAAAAAATGTTTTAAAATGCATTTGGAAGTTAAGTTGCCTAGTTACAATATTGGTAATTTGTGTCTTTTCTCTTTTCTTTGTCAGTCTTGCTAGACTGTCAGTTTTATTAACCTTTTCAAAGAACCAGCTACTCTTGTTTTCCTTTGATTAAAGTTTGCATGATACATCTTTTCCCATTATTTTACTTTCGTCTATTGTTATATTGAAAGTGAGCTTCTCATAGACAGAATATAGTTGGGTCATATTTTTTAAACAATTCTGCTAATCTCTTCCCTGTATTATAAGTGGTATATTTAGACCATTTAACTTTAATGTAATTATTGATATTTTAGAATTTACACTGCCATTTTATTTTTTGTTTATTTTCTGTTTGTTCTCTTTGTGGTTTTCTGTTTTCTTTGCCCAGACTTCTTATAAGCTATTTGAACACTTTTTGGAATTCTGTTTTGATTTATCTAAAGTGTCTTTCAGTGCATTTCTGTATATAATTTTTTAAAGGTTTCTCTAGGTATTACTTTATATATTTATAACTAAACAGTTTACTGGTGTCATCATTTTACCAGTTTGAGTAACATATAGAAACCCTATCTCCGCACTTTGCATCCCTTTATCTTCCCCATTTATAATATAATTATTTTAAATACTTCCTTTACATGCATTTACATCCACATCAGAATATTGCAATTTTTGCTTCAAACTTCAAACACAATTAGAGCTCTCAAGAGTACAAATGTTTTTGCTATGTTTTTTTCTTCCTTTCTGATGTTGAAGAGATCCATTTTTAATTGTCTTCTTTCCAATTAGATAACTCTTTTCTTTTCTTTCGAGGCAGAGTCTCACCGTGTCATCCAGGCTGGAGAGTGCAGTGATGCAATTATGCAAATTCTTTTAGTTTTCCGGCTGGGCGTGGTGGCTCACGCCTGTAATCCCAGCACTTTGGGAAGCCGAGGCAGGCGGATTGCCTGAGCTCAGGAGTTCGCGACGAACCTGGGCAACACGGTGAAACCCGTCTCTACTAAAATACAAAAAATTAGCCGGGCGTGGTGGTGGGCGCCTGTAGTCCCAGCGACTCAGGAGGCTGAGGCAGGAGAATCGCTTGAACCCGGGAGGCAGAGCTTGCAGTGAGTCGAGATCGCGCCACCGCACTCCAGCCTGGGCGACAGAGCAAGACTCCGTCTCAAAAACAAAAACAAAAACAAACAAACAAACAAACAAAAAACACAAATTCTCTTAGTTTTCCTTCATCTGATAATATTTTTACTTCCCCTTTATTCCTGAGGATATTTTCACAGGCAATAGGATACTGGCTTGACTGTTGATTGTTATCTGCATTCAGGACTTTGAAAGCTTTAAGTTCCTGAGTCTCAGCAGAAACTCAAAAATAATACATGTAGGAAGAGCTAAAAAAATATACAATAAACCGGATCCTATCGAATTTAAATGTCACCAGGCTACAAGAAACTGATTCTGGCAGAAAAAATAAACATGTGAAAAATAATTACAATAATGTGTGATAAGTGCAAAAATGCAGGTATGTACTTGTCACGATGCTGACACACAGAGAGAATCAGCACTGCTTGAGAGAATCAGTGAAAACTTCTCAGAGATGTGTGAACCAGGTTCTGAAAGTTAGGTAGTAAAAGGACTTCCTGGGTGAAGGGGAACCCAGCACGAAAGCCCTGAGAAAAGCGGAAAAGATGGTACATTTGAGAATCTGTGAGACTGAATGCCTGGCTGAGGTATAGAACACCCATTGGAACAAGCAAGAGATGCAGTAGAAAAGACAGCTAAGGGAAGGATGCTGGGCTAGAGGGCCTCATCCTCTACTAAGGAGTAAACTTTATCCTGTGTACCACGAGGAGCTACCGAACAGACGAAAATGGTGAGTGTAATATTTAAAGCAATGATTGCTACTATAACACTCTTTTTAAAGTAGCTTTTCCATGAATTATTAACATTATCTTTAGTCTAATACGTATCAAAATTTAGTTTATGGACTGGTAGGATGTGTTAATGGCCAATAAAAGTAAAAGACTCAGCCGATTCCCTGCCTTCTACACTCCATTTTACACACACTCCATCCTGCCTGCCGAATGACTTCAGTGTCTCTGTGACCAGTGAGTGAAGCAGCATGCAATGAGATCATGGCTAGATGGCAGCACATTCAGTGAAGTGCTTCAGCTTTCCTGTTGCTTCTGATTCCCTGGCATTTGTCAGTGTCTGTCAAAACATTAACATTTCTTAATGTATATTTTGCATTATTTACTAAATGAAAATTTTCCAATGACAGTGGCTGAGAAAAAAAAATCAGATTTACATACAGTATGTCAAGTTCACATTCGATGCCCCAGAAATGCCCAGTCCCCAAAGACCTCTAGGGACTGCAGCTCATTTGTTGTCCCTCTCCCTCTCCCGTTTATTATGCTGACCCTCTGCCCAGCCACATAGCTCACCCCACCCCCTTAGAAGCATCTAGAGTTGGCTCTAGACATGAAATGGAATAGATTTCTGCATTTACATAACTGCTATCGCACTTCTGGTGAAAAGTAGTTTCAGAAAAACACAGAAAAAAATAAACAGAAGAATAAAAAGTGTCTATGTGATAACATAAGGGCTTATTTAACTACGTCTTTATTTCCTTTACAGTCCAACTATTTTTTTTTTAAAACTGCATGCCACCTTCATGCTGCCTCTCAGAGGGGACTTGATCTTATTTAGACCCGGTGGCGAGGGTCCTTCAGCTCCGTGAGGAGCTCTCTAGCACTCAGTCCTCTTTAGAGGAAAGATATCTTCAGAGCCTAAAGGCCTTGAAAGAAATGACACATTTTTAAAAACAGAAAAACAAGCATGAAAGTGGCCCATCAGAAATGAAGGTGTGAACTAGAATACAATAGACAGCGAGGAAGGAGCCAAAAATCCTCACCCAGGCAGGCCAGGATATATGCAGATAGGGAGGAAATTGGGAGGCATTCCTTTGCTAATAAAGATGATTTTTCTTCTAATTTTCACATCTTTCATGATGTATCTTTTGTTTTTTGTTTTCTCTCTATGACTGCTGTTCTAAAATAAGTGGGCTTTAAGAATATGAACTACAGTCCGCATGTTTGCCAGCCCCATATTCTGCGATGAACTTGACATGTGAATGAATCAATTCTGCAGAGGTGAAAAGTTATTCCTACAAAGTCCCCAGTTTTCCTTGTGAGAAAGATCCCTACTTACCTGTAAACTTGTTAATTAAATGTCAAAGGTTTTTATATCAAGGACAATAACACAAGCCAACCTGGGAATCTGCTTGTCTGAAATAGGTAAAGAGTGTCTGTGTTTATTTAGAATTGATTGTACACTTTCCTTCATTCTCTACATAGATTTTATTTTCTCCCCACATTCTTCTTTTTCTGTATTGCCTTGAGGGCTTTCTCTTATAATTATGTGACAAATTATATCTGAATTATGTTCAAATAAGCAAGGAGACTGACGTTTTCTGTTAAAAACATATGGCCTATCAGTAATGAATGAAGTTTTGCCCATATCATGACATGACTTTATTGAAGGCACCATCTCATATATGCAGTTTTCAATGTGGTGTCTAACAGATTTGTGTAAAATGTCTAAAATTAAGCAAATGCAATTATATGAGTTAGTATCATCTTATCATGTACATTTTGCTTGATAATAGAAAAGCAAATGAAAAGTTTATTAGCTTATTACAACAGTCTGTTTTTGATTTTTACTTTAGACTCTATTCCTCTTTATTTTCTCCTCTTCTGTTTCGGGTCATTATTTTATCTGGAGAACCCAAAATCCAATTCTTCATCTGTATTTACCACATAGATCTTTAGATTCTCTTACCAATCCAACAGATTTCTGAATATTTAACTACCCTATTGTAAGTTGTCTTGTTTAGAAGAAATGGAATCTAAGATTGTGGCAGTAAAGGACAAGCTGTCAATGTGTTAAATAAATTCCTGTTGAAAAGTAACGGCATGCACTGTGTGTTAACATAATTTATTAGAACAATTAGAACCCATCCTTGTTGTCTTTTAATTAGATTATTCCCTGTTCTGGTAATTACACTAGACAAGGGAGAATAATAGTCTTGGGATTCTAAAATCATCTGTAGACTATGTGGAAAGAGAATAAATAATCAATAATGCTAATGTACCGGAAAACTTAAATTCCCAGAAAGAGATCTTTTATCATGAGCAATCCTTTGTATAAACAGCATTATTTCTCAATGTCTATGCTTATCTTGCCCAAAGTTGAAAAGTGAAGACACTGGACAAATAACAGATATTTATTTTACTGTCAGAAACCTGGTTGGGCTGGGCCACCTCTGGCCTCTAGTGGCTCAGACATTGCTTCAGTCCCTTGCAAAATGCCAACAAGAAACCGCAAATGAAGGATTTAAAATTCCATGCAGAGCAGCATATCTAGCAGTCTGAATGCCTAAGGGAAAGGATGCAGGGCTTTTAAGTTCTGGTCCTAGGTGAGGAATCATAAAGTTCCTCAATTTAAAAAAATATATACAAATGGACAAAAATGTCTTAGAACTGAGAAGGCTACTAAATATTAAAAAAAAATTTCTGATATTTCCATACATGAAGATGTTATTTGCAGAAATTAATAGGCAGGCTGTATGTCAGGAAAGTTTCTGGCTCTCAGGGATGGGCTGAGGCCTTTAGATGTGAATCGAACTACATCTCTGGTTTTATGTTTGGAAGACCATAGGGAATTCCAGTGCTCCAAGGACGCTCCGAGGGCCTACACAACTGTCATCAAGCATGTTAGGACATCCTAGAGAGTAGTTCCCAAAACTTCTAGGCTTCAGAATCTTGACAAAGTCATGGGTGGGCATATCCTGCCCTCACGGATAACCCTACAGTTGAGTAGAAGGATGCTGGAATGCACAGAATTGACACCAGTGAATCTGGAGTTCTCTGTAGTAATGAGCAACACAAATATCTCACCAACAGTCCCACTGTTATCCGAGTCTGCCTTAGTCAATGTAAACTCCTAATGAGACCATGTCTAGACAGTATTGATCTCCCACCAGAAAAAAAAAAAGAACTCAGAGTGTGACTTCTTTTCTAGCTTAGCCCAAATGACACCCTAAAACATGCTCTTTCATTCACTCATTGCTAACACTTTTCATAACCTGAGATATTTTATCAACTAGGCAGCCAAGGACCCATAGGCTTCTTCGCAAGGTATATGTGATATTTTTTATATTTAAAACATCTTTGATATTCAAATAGCAGATAAGAAAGTTACTTAAGCTTATTAAAGAACCTAGAGAAATTAAATGAGTGTATATATATATACATATATATATGAGTGTATATATATATATATATTTTTTTTTTTTTTTTTTTCCCTTGCTAGGCAAAGGAGACAGGCCTTTAAAAAATGAAAGTCCACATAAGATTAAGGTGTGATCATTCAAGTTAATGTGGGCAAGATATCTAAAGGAGAAATCATTAGCTTAAGCTATCCAAAGGATTTTACACACAGTCCTGTGGTTTAGGAGCAGAGGATCACCCGTACTACTGTGCTATCCATCCCAGCTGGGAAGACATGGTTCTTTATAGAAGTACCCCTTAAAATTGTCAGGGGTGCTATTAAGTACTTAGGGTTCCCCACTATTCTTATCTCCAGACTGGTCAAATCTACCAGGCATCTTTCTGATATATCAGATAGATATAATCTATCATAGATATACCAAAGATTTATTTGCATCTGAGTGTCCTGTGGTGAGGCATTCCACAGCAGGCTGTGCATCAGGTCTGTCTGCAGAAAGTAAGAAAGAAAGGAATACAGTTTAAAATTCACGTAGGAATGGAGTTTAAAAACTCCCCAGGCAATGTGAAGGTGAGTTAGGACTGGGAACCACAAGCTAAAAAGGAGAACCACAGAGAATTCTTTCTGACTTTGGGGCTGAAATGAAGCTGACCGAGGCATTCAGGTGGTTCCAGAGGCTGGAAAGTCTCATACGACAGGTTTTTTTCTCACAAAAGAGAAGTGAAATAAGTACCTTATTATGTTCCAATAATATCAAGATACAAATCTATCTTTTAGAAAAATGCTAAATAAAAACACAGTCAGAGAGAGACTTCCACCACTATAAATAGTTTCTTATAAATGCCACCTAGAGACAAAATTATCATTTCTATGATCCTAACCAAAAGAGCCTTGCATGTCTTGGAAATACTTTGCCCTCTAAAGCAACCAGAAGAACATTCCTTCAGTCTATGTGTTCTTGTGCTGGATTTTGAAACTTTTGAGCATTTGCTCCCAAAGTGAAATTTAAAAGGCTAACAGCAGGGACACCTGGATAACTAGAAAACTTACCTATTGATATCACAGGCTGCTTCTCCAAATATAATTTCTTGCAAGCATAGTAAAAATCCTATACTTGTTTGAAATGAAATGAAGGAAAGCCTATCATGAATTTCTTTTTCTCTGTGTTAATGAAAGACACGAGCACACCATGATAAGCAGGAGAGAATGACCTAGTGTTCATCCTTCTCTTCTTGTCCAACGCAGGTAACTATAGGTGGGCTCTGGGTAGAGTATATGATTGCTGCATATTTCTAAGAAATAAAGTTAATTTACAGGCTACCTCAATCCTGACACTCTAGGGGTAAGGCAAGCACGCATGTATGTATTTCTGGTAATCAAGAGGGAGAAATAGCAGTGAAAAATAGAGCTTGGATATATATCTTAAAGACATGCCACTGATTTCAAAATAGGGCAAGAGCACTTATGATTTAATATAATTTTGTTGGAAAAAGTTAACTCTCTCCAAGGAAATACAGAGCTTAGCAAATACCTTATAAATAATACAAAGGCATACTATAGTGTTTAGTAGAATCTTATTCACCCATTCTGATTTGGACAAATGTTAAATGAGACAAACAGGAGAAAAGTTTATTGATTAGGTAACCGATTAAAATTTTGGTGAAAAGCAGAAGTAGTAAGTTCCAGAAACAAGAAATAAATCATGTATATCAACAAGAGGAATGAAGGCATTTTGTGCAATCCTGGGGAATAGATTTTCTTAGGTATTTCATAAAATCATTGACTCTAGGGCAGGAAAAAACCCTACACACATAAACCCACAGCATTCTTTTTCCTGCCTCCACAGTTGTAAAGGCCCGATGATAAAACCTGTTTCCTAAGACTTCCCCAGAATGTGATTCAACACATTTTCTATTTTTTTAAAAAAAAATTTCTGCCACTTAATTTCATGTGATAATTTTCCCCAATGACTAACCAAATATGCTTCACTATTATATAAATCAATTCTTTCTTAATGCCACAAGTGAAAGTGCAAAGGTAGCTAATGGTTTTCTTCTCATAAAAATCACACTTTGGCTTTTTCCTTTCATATGTAATTAATCATATTTGTGACAATCTTCCAAACTTACTTGAAATTTTTCTGAATCCCTTTCAAATCAGGACAAGAACTAGAAATGTCTATACAGGTTTAATATGAAGTAAAGAAAATGTTTTTCATTTTCTTGATTTATTTCTGAATTCAGCTTGCTCTTCATTAGCGCTACATAGCTGCCTTATTATTCTTGGTCCCCTATGACCCCCTGATCATTTTCCCTGAGGGTGCATATTTATTCACTAACTATGTTACAATCATGTGATCTGCTGGATTTTTTCTGATAGTCTACTCTAGATTTGTTCTAAATTAATAAATCCCATTATTTTTGGCTTCTACTACTTCTATTTATTAAATTCATTCTGAATATGAAGTTTATTTTCAAAGGAATTCATAATTCTTTACTCCAAGCTTGGTTCTAACAATGAATTTAATAAGAATTGTATTTAATCAATGTTTAAATATATTAAGGGCAAATTTTGTAAAAATGTTAGTGTTCCAAGCTTTCCATTTCCCCACAAATTAATTTTTTTAGCCTTTCCCCTTAATCCACTTTCTTAAAAAATAAAATTTTTTTTGTGATGCAGAATTATGTGAACAATAAGAAAAAAATAATTAGAAAGGTAGGAGTAAACTAAAAACAAACAAACAAACAAAAAAAAAAACCAAAAAACTAAGGCTGCAGACTTAATAGAACTACCATAGCTACTTAAGGGTAAATGATTAAGAGAGAGACAACGTCTGGCTTCTGAGCAGAGCACAGAGAGAAAGATCACCAGGAAGAAAAAAGATAACAGGGAATTTTAAGGACAGTTGCCATGTGTAATGCATAAAATAGTTTTCAAAATTCTTGGAGAGGTAAAAATAAAATTTAGATTTATTTTTTAATTATTTCACTTGCGATGCTATCTTAAGATTGAACCACATGGGGCCCCAGAATTTATTTAGGTTATACAAATATCCTCCAATTCTGATGCTGATTATTTCATATGCAGACTTCAGTTACCTTTACATGTCATAAACACACATACCCCAGAAATAAACTTGATCATCCCATAAATTTTCAAGAGCTCTCAGCCTGCTGTAAATGAAATTTCACCATTAACTCACAGGTCGATGTCTGGGACAACCTCAAAGACTGCTTGAGTAATTAATAAATTTATATGAAAACATTGGAGTGAAAATGTCTGTCAGTGTCAAATACATAAGAGGTAATGGCTGATACATAGTAATGCAGTTTTAAACCATTGGCAACATATCTAAACAAAGGTATCAGAGAAAAATAAAAGAAAACCTTGTAACTTGTATGATAAGCCTCTTGCATAAGATTATTAAGAAAGTCATAAGCACTTACGGCTTTATTCCTTTTCTATATAGATAGATTGCCCAGAAAAACGTGGACTGAACCTCAGCTGGAATCTGAGGGCTCTGCTTGTCTTTAACAGCTTAGCTACATTGTTAGAGAGCAACACTACATAATACAGCATGCCCTATTCTTAAGGCAATACATAAAATTTTAAAACCTGAAGCTAAATTAAAAGGTTATCACCCTTCTGCCTAATGTATTATATATTTGTAAATGATATCTGTCTCTAAAAAAGATGTACCACAAAGCAAGAGCATATGTGAAACAATAAGAGAGAATGTAGGAGTTAGAAACACATTTAGGTATGTAGGAAACACAAACTTCAAGACATTCCCAAGGATCTAAATAACCTATACACAAATATAGCAAAGTCATATCCTAAGGGAGAGGATTTGAGTTCTAAAGCCGGAGCCTAAGGTAAATGTTGCATATAGTCAAACTTACCATTGAAGATCACTTTAATCACCTGTAGGGTGCAAGTTACATTGCTTTGTGTATTCAAGACTGACAGTGAATATTTGAGAAAATCAGTTGAGTTAGAATAAAGAAGGAAGCAAAGAAAAGTCCACCTACAGATATTAGGGTATTCAAACAACCTCTTCTTTAAGAAACTAGCAAATCTCCACCTCTGAGTTTTTATCAGGTAGGTGATGAAGTGCAAAGCTGTAAACCCTCCAACAGGGCTTATTCCACTGTTTTAATATTCACATTTCATAACTTGGACATATGCATTAATGGATGTATTTGTCATTGTTAAGATTAAGTAACATAATCTTTCTTTTTTTTTTTCTTTGAGATGGAGTCTTGCTCTGTCGCCCAGCCTGGAGTGCAGTGGCATGATCTCAGCTCACTGCAACCTCCGCCTCCCAGGTTCAAGCAATTCTCCTGCCTCAGGCTCCCGAGTAGCTGGGATTACAGGTATGCACCACAAAGCCCAGCTAATTTTTGTATTTTTAGTAGAAACAAGGTTTCACCATATTGGCCAGGCTGGTCTTGAACTCCTGACCTCAGGTGATCCACCCACCTTGGCCTCCCAAAGTGCCAGGATTAAAGGCATGAGCCAATGAGCCTGGCTGATAACCTTATTTCATAAGCAAAAGCATCATCCACAGGGTCTGGTCCAGAGCAGATACTCAATAGGGTGCTACATTTTAATCTAACTCTTGTTTCATCAGACCCACAAACACATTGCTCTTTAAAATCCTGTAGAGAAGAATATGACAACCTGCACCTTTTCTTTCCAAGATGGCATTTCCAGTTAGGGTACCTCTGAACAGCTGTTGCTTGCACATTTTAGGCATGGTGAAGATCTACACCTGATGCTGGGTTCCTAAGTGGGCATATGGTGAATCCACTGCACACAGAAGCACTTCTTTATGCTTGGATCACATTGCAGAAGATTGGACCCCTGACTGGGGCTACCTTTCCCAAGCCTTAACAGCACATCAGGCTCAAATCACAGGGCTATCAAATGAGGAGATCCCCTTTTCCAAAAAAAGCATCCCTATCAACTCTCCCAGGAAAGCACATGAACTCATGTTATCCATTCATTCTTATCTTGGAAAATACACCCACAAGCCCCTTTTACTGCCACTTACAGTAGGATGCCACAAAAATTCAGAAACTGGAATCCTTTTCCGTCCCTTCTCCTTTCCTTCCTCCCTTTCTTCTTTTCTTCTTCCTTACCTTGAAATTTCTGCCTGTGGTAAAACCACAGGAAGAAGGAAAGTCAAATGAATTTTCCTATTAGTCGACATTTCTGTGATACACTCATTTTTTTTGGTCCCCGTATGAACTCCCTCCAGGGTATTTCTTTATGGGAATAAAGTATGCCAAATGAAATAAAGAACTTGAAGCACAATTTTATCCTTGACATATGTAGAGAGAATATGTTACTCCTGAATTTATGGTGCAATGCAACTCAGTCACTTCCTTTTCCTCTTTCCCCTAGTTTGCACTTCCTACTTATTGCTGCATACCATCACAAATTTATGGAGTGCCAATGGCTGTGGCCTCTAGGCAGCTCCCAAATGACTGAATCCAGACATCATTGTCTTCAGTTCCCCTTTGGCATTAGTCTATTTTCCATCCCTCTTCCTTTATTGAAATCTGCTTCCAATTATTTTTCATAAGATGGTTTAGCTTTCTTTTATTTCCTTTAAGTTGAAACTCTTTTATTTCTACCTTTCATTTCTATGCCCTCCTGGGCCTTAAGCACAGTTCTTCTACATTTACAGGGGTTTTCATTTAGAAACTATTGAGAACTTTACTATCAAATTGTACTTTTTAAGATAATTTTTTTGCAATTTTAACTAAAAGGAGATTTTTAGACTTTTGGAAAGTCATGGCTCCAGGTCTCAGATCTCAGCTGTAGGTTTTATCACTTTGCAAGATGATGACTAGAGTTACAGCACATTCTTTCAACCCATGCCCAAAACTTCAAAGATGGCCACCCTTCAACCCCTGAAGATTTCAACTCAGTGTTTTCAGAAAATTGGAGGTCCAGGCTTTGGAGTCAGACAGATATGGGTTCAAATCCAGCCTCTGGCACTTAATTTGAATACAACCTAGAGTAAGTCATTTAACTTTCCTGAGCTTTGATTTCCTTATCTGAAAAATAAGAATATAGATACTTACCTCACCATATTGTTATAAAGATGAAATGAGGTAATCTTTGTAAAATATACACAATGTCTAGCAGGTGGTAAGCATTCAAACTGGTAGCTATTTTTTATTGTTATGAGTTAAAATTTTGTATATAATGGATTTTTTTTCCAAGAAAGCTCATCAAGCTGACCTTAAGTAGATGTTACTCCCAAATACCACCCAATTCCATGTCTACATACTTGAGAAGTTACTAAACACTTTAAAATTGAAATTGAAAACTAGGGACAAACATAGATTTGAAACCAAAGGAATAGGTAATCAGTTATAAATTTGGATATAACATTATGAGCCTCTATTTCAGAAAATACATTCCTTTTAAAGTATATTTACTATAGTTATCCATGCAGACTGAATATTTTTATCAATAGTTGCAAAACCATTTCCTGAAAGGGAAAACCATGTAATTATAACTAGATTTTCACATGTTAACCTTTTATATAAGGGAAGAACAAGAAGTAGATATTTGCTAAGAGACTGGGAAGAAAGGGAAGAGAAGGGAGAGAGGGAGAGACAGAGAGAATGAGAATGAAAGCAAAGAAATTTGACAAGGAATACTATTTGGCTTTTGGCCCTTCCGTGTACCAACGTAGATGTGTGATTATACCATTTAGGATTGTTGTCAATTCTTTCCATAGGAACAGACTGAACAATGAGACATCTACCTCTCAACCCAAAGAGAATAAAATTGTCATTTCCCTACAGGACTTTTGTTAATACAAAAATGAAATATATATATATATATATATATAAAATTATTATGATTTCAAAAATAAAGCCAAATATCTAAATGAAACCATGAAAATAATTAGCTCCGATCCAACAGAGTAAGTGAGGTTTTTACTTTGGAAGATAAGTAAATTCTTTCAGAGCATGAGAATGAAAAATTGATTGATTCCGATCTGATCTCTAAAAAGAGCAGTCTGATTTACTTTGGTATCAAACAGACCTGCTTCTAAATGCCATTTCTGCCATTTACCTGTTGGGCAAATTTCTTACCTATGCACTTGGAGTCTTCACCCTTAAAATAGGTATGAAAATAGGTAGAAAATAGGCTTGCCATGCTTTCTCTCTCTCTCCCTATATCCCATGTCTCTCCAAGGAGCAATTCCTAATGTAATTGATCAAATTCAAGCATATGGAGTCTTATTTACTAAGTGGCATGGTCACTATACAATAAACGTGACTTCCCCCACTTCTACTTCTTCTCTTCTAAGTTGAAAAAACTCTAATCTCTCAGGTCAGGCTAACTATTTCCTTCCCTCTTTCCTGCCTTCTTTCTAATTTGAGGCAATAGCATCCATGAGCCCAGGCGATGTCAGGGATTCTTGTTTTTATCTCAACACTTTCATTCTTCCCCATCCCCTCACAGGCCCCCATTCAGAATTCTTAAGCATGCTATTTGCTTGAGGGGGCATTTAGGAAGTCCCATTTAAGACCTCTGCCAGCTCTAATCTTATCTCTTCAGAGAGGCCTTCGCTGACTATCCAATCTAAAGTACCTACCTTTATCAGTGTTCTACACTGGAAGGTATTGGGCACAGGTGCAACTAATAATAAAGTGGGTGGTACTTTGTTGCCATTTCCATGTTAGGGCCTTTGTGTCTGCACTTCTCTCTCTCTCTCTCTCTCTCTCTCTCTCTCTCTCTCTCTCTCATGCTCTGCATCTTTAAATCACTAAGGTCTCAGCTCTAATGTTATCTCTTCAGAGAGGCCTTCCCTGACTATCCAGTCTAAAGCAGACTCCTCATTCCCACCAACTCACTCCATTACATTAATCTTTTATTTTGTTAATAGCTCTCATTGCATCCCATTACTTTCTTCTTTATTTGCTTGTTGCCCATCCCTACCTCCTTCCCAAACACACTTATTAAAACACCATGAAGACAAAAAGGTATTGTGCTCACCACTTGTTTATCCAGAGCCAGGTGCCTGTCCAAAGTAGATGCACACCTGCCATGTCCTATGGCCAACCAGGTCCAATGAATTCCTTTATAAAGCTCCTCTCCTCAGCTGACCCAGAACACCAGCTGCTATACTGAAGGCTTTCACACTTTCAGATGAGGTGTCTTTATCTTATAAATTTCTTTTCTCTAAGCAGAATTTATATAACCTACTCATTACTTTGAATAGCATCTTATTCAGTATACCTTATTGGTATTTTTCAGTAAACCCTGGTATAAGGCACACAGCTAAGTGAATGTCCCCACATACCTATAAGAGAGTGGCTAGATGCCTTTCTTACCCACAGGGATGGTTTCAAAGAAACCTTTTACACTCACTCCCATATACACACATACACAAAGGAAAGCTCACATTTGCATTCCAGATCATCTCCAGGAGGAGGGAGGAGAAATACTCTTTTAAAAGAGCAAACCTAAAATTATAATGCTCTTGAAAACATTAGTAGTTAACATTTACTGTTAAGAAAGCCACAATCCCAGACCAAAGATAGCTGAGTGGCATCTTAAATTGAAGATAGTTTTTAAGTCAGAGCTTAGAAAGTCTCTTGGAAATCTCTTTAATTCCCCCACAGAATAAAATATGGTACAGATTCTCAGGAGGTCCAATAGAGGCTTTCCTCTAGCATTAGAACAGATCCTTCTTTGATCAAGGATCAGATGAAGTCATTGGTGTGAATTTACTAGGCATATATTTTTTCATATATAACAGAAAATGTCAACACTGGAATCTCACTCAGCACTAAGATGCTCACACTAAGAGGTTCAGGAAAATGAGAATGACTCCCAGAACCCATCTCACATTTTCTAAGAGGCATATATTCATTGAGGGGAACGTCTAACAGAATGACCTATATTATTTACATCAGTACTTCCTACTCTCACTTTTTTGGCCAATTCTGTGTGATTAAATTGGCAAAAGTTCAATGCACACAAGGTGCAACTCAATTATATTTAAGATCACTCATTTATGTCATAAAGTCTTTCTCAAAAAACAAAAGATGCCAGCCCCACAGAACTTTATCATGTCACATAGACCCCATTAATGCAGTCTATCAACAATATAGACAGATTATTATATTCAGGGAAGTTCCCTCAAGAATTGCCTTACAAGTTCAATTTAAAAAATCAAAATAAAACAAGCCAGTACTGAGTCTTTCTATGGTATAGTTAAACTTGTAATATTTTATACATATTTTTTGAAAGTAGCCTTGATATAAATCCTGAAAAAAGAAAAAAAGCAAAGTCCACATTTCTATAAGTGTCACGATGATAAATTTTATGTATCAACTTGACTGGGCCATGAGGTGCCCAGATATTTGGTCGAACTTTATTCCGAGTATGGCTGTGAGGGTGCTTTGGACACACTTTTAATATTTAAATCAACAGATGCAGTAAAGCAATTGCCCTCCCTAATGTGTGTGGACTTCATCCAATCAGCTGAAGGCTTGATTAGGACAAAAAAAAGCTGACCCTCATGCAAGAAAGAGGAAACTCCTCTTACCTGATAGTCTTCAGCTGGGACACTGATTGTGTCCTGCCTTTGGACTCTAACTGAAACACTGGCTCTTCCTGGGTCTCAAGCCTGTTGATCATTGGACAGAAACTACACCATTGGGTCTCCTGGGTCCCTAGCTTGCCAATGCCAGATCTGGGGACTTGCCAGCCTCCATAGTCACAAGAGCCAACTTCTCATAATAAATCTCTTTCTATACATATGGATACACACATCCTACTGATTCTGTTTCTCTGGAGAACCCTGACTAATACAAATATTAAACCCAAATAAAAACCCAAATGCAAGTATTAAACCCAAACCCAAATCCAAAGATGAACAACTTTCTTCATCAGTCTGGCACCTAACTGCATGTCTCTTTATGAAGTATGTAATATTTTTTCATGAGCTGCCATATGTCATTCCATCACTCGCTCTAGAACTCTTTTAGGCACTTAAAACTTTGTATATTATATTAAAATTTAATGTATCAAGAAAGGATATAGTGAGAATAAACTGAAAAGAGTAGTTACTAATGCCAAATATAAGGCAGTCTTGAAAAAAAGAAATATTCCTCTGTAATCTCAGTACTTTGGGAGGCCAAAGTGGGAAGGCTGCTTGAAACCAGGAGTTTGAGACAAGCCTAAGCAGCATAGTGAGACCCTATCCCCTAAAAATCAAGATTTTTTCAAAAAAAGAAATATTCCATTTTTTCAGTAAAAATATTAAACAAATTTCAAAAGGCAGAATGGACAGCTTATACATATAAACATATAGGGATATGAAACACATAGTTAAATATCTACCTATACTTTTTATTTCATTAATTTAATTGGATACTTAAAAACATGTACTTTACTCAAATTCTTATGTGAGCATCTCAACACATGGTTTATTCAAATTCTGATGTGAGCATCTCCACCATATAAGAGCCTCCTTTTTAGCCCTCCAACTGAGTTTTCCAGAGTTTTCCACAAAACTCCAACTGAGTTTTCTTCCCTTGGTTCAAAACAGGACACTCCTTGAATCATGTATGATGGTGTTTCTGAAAGTTGTCTCTGAAGGCACAAGTACCTATTTATATAATATTAGCAGCTTTTTCTTCTAAATAAAAATATTTCTTTGAACAGGTATATATTTTGATGTCTATGATGTATTTGTCTCTTGTATTGCTTTTTAAATAGACTTTTCAAAATCGCTGTTTGGAACAACATCCAACAGTTGGAATTGTGAAGTCATAGCCCCTGGAATCATGACTAACTGTGTTCAATTTCCCTGCTCCTCTTTTATGGATCCTAGCAGATGACCTTCACGAGCACCCAAAACAAACCTTGGGTGAAGCCACTTCAGCCCACTGTGACTTCCTAAAGCAGTATTTGAAAGGACCCAAATATAAAGCAAGGTCGTCTCTTCTGAGGGATAATAAATTCAGGGGGAAGCAAACCTCACCTTTGTATTTGAGGATATCTGGTGTATTTTAGTGCAATTCTGCCTTTAAGATAAAGTGCCAGCTGACTTAATGGCAGTTGTGATCTCTGCTTCATTTCATCTTTTATCTAATGATCCGCTAGTTAGTAAACCTGCAAATCCTGAAAGAAACATAAGTACTCTTTTTCTTTGCAGTGTAATCACCAACAATAAAGCTTTATTTTTTTGCATTAACATTCAACTGCAATGTATTTAAATGTTCCACATACACAAAAACACCTGATTTTTCCCAAGATTTGTTAAACATAGTCCCTTTGGTGTCCTTAGTAACACTGCAAAGATGTCTTCATGTAAAACTTAATTTGAGTCCTGATTACCTTACTGTGAAAAACCGTAAACACCAAACAAAAGTAAGCATAATATCCAAATGCCTAAAACATAATACCCAGGTTGAAGGAAGTGTAAATGTTCAGATTCACCAGTGGGACTAGAATGTAAACTTCTTGGGTTGTGGTTCCTCCAAATCATCTGGCCACCTGGGTATCATATCCCACAAGCATATGGTAACACTGATAGAGTAAGCTCAAAGTGTTCCAACACCAGGACATTTCATGGCCACATCAGACCAATTGTATTTTTCACTTCCTCTCTTTCCCTAACTTTTCTCATACAAAGCTTCCTACATTTCCTTTGGCACTTAGTAATACTTAAATGCATCTTCACTGTCTTATTCAGTGTTTTTAGCTTTGGAAGGTGTATCACTTGGGATTGCTTTCAGATGCATTAATTGCAATCTAGCTAACCAACAGCCCAACAGTGATTTAAACACAGAAAGCTTTCTTTTCCGGATATGCATGTGTGCATATTTTGTTTTGTTTTTCATGCAACAAGATGTCTGAAGGTATAATCTGACACTGAGCTGGTATCTCATGGTGTCATGAATGCCCCAGCCTACTTCTATTTTTTTTTTTTTTTTCCTCTGCTGTCCTTCAGTGAGGCTTTCACTTTCATTGTCATAGACGGCTGCTGGATCTCCAAGTTTGACACATTCTCCCTAGGCAAGAAGAGGGGGAAAGGCAAAGGGGAAAGAGGATGCCAGCCAAGTCAGTCTCTTTCTAAAAGCTTTCCAGAAAGTTCCATCCAGTGACTTCCACATACATCTGCCCAGCCACAAATGGGTCATACAGTCTTTCCTAACTGTAAGAGAGTGTGGGAAGCTGGATATGAGCTGAGCATTGCTGCTCCAAACAAAATCAGATTTCTGTTAGGAAAGAATGGATGTAAAGTGGATCTTAGGAAGGGAACAACCAATGCCTACCATACACAAGTATTTGTGGTGAGCAGACATGGCTAAGTGCCTCTTCCTATCTAGGGAGGTTCAGGGAATTACTCAAGATCTCTTTTGTGCCAGGGAACTAGGGAGTCAGTCATCTCATTTGCTTTCATTTCCTCATCTCTGAAATTTCCTACTATGGTATTCCTCTTAGAACACCATTTAGAAGTGTTATGGTTTTCTGTTCTTAATCCAAATGTGACAAAATGTATTCTCCTTCTTCTCTGATAACAAAACCCAAATTCTGACGGGCAGCATGTGCTTAGCCTTAGATAATGAATAATGACTGGTCTAACCCAATCATGGCGATACTATGTTCTTTTGCCATTGATTGGTATTCAGTAGTAGGCATGTGACCTAGATCTAACCAATGAGTGGACATACACTGGGGGGACTCATGAAAGATTTTTCACCTTTGGTAAAAAGTCATAGTTGCAAGAGGAGAAAGCCTTTTCTTCATATGCCTCTTCTTTCCTGTTTTAGATGCTGTCATGTTAACGCTTTGTGCTTAGAGCTGTAGAAGCCGTCTTGTGACCATGAGGCAATAGCCAAAAGAGGAAAGAGCCTGAGTATGAAAGACACTGGGTCCTTTATGATATTACTGAGTTGCCAAACTAACCCTGGGATCCTCTACCTCCTGTTTTCTCATAGTAATAAATATCCCTGTGATTTCAGCACTATCACTTTAATTTTCTGTTACAGGCAGCTGAAAGCATTCAGAACTCACATACTATCTTAACATCATCTTCCATGTGTTATGGGCCAAGAGTATATTCAAGAGTGACTACAAAACTACATTCATTGTCGTATCCCTGTGGGACTCCCTTAAAGTTCTAGTGTTCTGTAGTGTACTTTCCACAGCCTAGAAGGATATATGTTTCCCTCTCTCCAGCCCTAAGGAACTCTTAATTTAAGACTGACAAGATGAATGAGTTACAATGAGGGTGAATCCAATTCAAAAGACGTAACAACAAGCAAGAAAAGCAAAGAACCTTGTAAACACCCATGTTATGGAGTGTGAGAGTGTAAGCTTAAGGAGGCTTTTATTTTGGGGAGAAGATGCATCACCTCTGTTTGAATGAGAGAAATTAAGTTGTAATTATGATGGTGTTTCAGTTAAATTATTTGATGTGGAAGACAAGGAGACCATTCCCAACATGTTATTTAGCAAAGAATATGGAGGAGAGGCAGAAGACTGTGATGGAAAACGTTCAGAGGCCATCAACCAAAATGGTAATGCATTCGAGGCAGATAAAGTTGCTTCTTGCTAGACAGAGGTGGGGTGAGCCCTGACATACGTCTTCAAAATTGCAAAAGGCACAGATCTGGGGGGGAAAGGGGGTTGATTCACCAAATCTCAGAATAGCAGAATGGCAATAACCCTACTCCAAGGCTTCCAGTTTTCCTCAGTTTAACTCCTTTTGCATACTGCAGCCAAAGAGATTTTTTTTAAAATGAAGATCACTCAGACTGTGTCCTCTTCCTCTTAATCTCCCCAAAGGAAGAAAAAAACAATGATCAATGGCAAATGGCAGTTGCAATGAAGCAACACCAAGAACGAGCTTCGTGCTCGGGAGAGAACATTGCATATCTTCCTGTGGTTTCCAGTGCTCTACACACTTGGGGAAACTCCTTTAAGTAATGAACCACAGAAATGACCCCTGGAAATATAATCTTCAAAGTGATCTTTTAAAGATCCAAATATTTCCTGTTCCCACTCTGCCCAGAGATCTTCAGTGGCTCACTACTGCTTCCATGATAAGATCCTAAAACCTTGTCACAATCCACAAGGCCTTCATTGTCCATCCCTGCCTGCCTCACTGTCTTTATCTCCCACCACACTCTGCCTTCTCTATGCTCCCACCTGACAACTTCTTCAGTGCGTGGACCCTATTGTACTCTCTCAGGCCTCAAAACCATGTAACATCCTGGACTTCCTCTTCACTGGTCTAATGCCTACTCATACTTGGCTTCTGAGATTGTACTTCACTCCACATGGAGATTATCCACAACCATGCCCCACTCCAAAACCAGGTTACCTTCCCAATGTGATATACTTGCCATAGCACTCAGCTTCCTTTTTTATAATACTCATCACACTTGTGATTGATTGACTCTCTTCTCCTTTACATTGTAAGATCCATAAAGGCAAGGATCATGTCTGTCTCTTTCTGATGTGTAACAAGCCTGAACATACATACAATAAATGGCCAGGTGTAATTTACCATTGTGTGGATGCCATCTTGGGAGGGGGGATTCTAATAGTTCAAGGGCATGTATGAAAAACAGACTCATGGTAAAATAATAAGAATAGAAAAAAGTTACTCAGAGTGGTTTAATGGCTGGGGTATACCTTTTACTATTTTACTTAGACATCAAAGGAAAATCAGTGTCCTCCCTATCATGTTCCATGATTTTGTACAACTGAGTTTAGAGCACAAGCTAAGGTATCAGACAGCATTTGACAGCCCAGCTTCACTACTTATCAGCTGTGTGAGGTGATATAATCCCTCTAATCCCTATAAACCTTAGTTTCCTCATCTTTAAAATGGGGATAATGACAAAAGCTTTTCAATAAGGGTTTGTGAGGATTAAATTAGATAATACATGGAAAGCTTTCATCCCAGTGCTTGCCACAGAGTTAGCATGCAATAAATGTTATAAAGAGTTCTTTATTGTTCTGCCCATCAACATCTGAGACAGAATATAAACACAACTGCTCCTGGGCCTGGTGGCTCATGCCTGTAATCCCAACTTTGGGATGCCAAAGTGGGAGGATCACTTCAGGCCAGGAGTTCAAGACCAGCCTGGGCAACAAAGCAAGACTCCATCTCTACAAAAAATGAAAAAATAGGTGGATATGGTGATGTATGCCTGTAGTTCTAGTTACTTGGGAGGCTGAGGCAGGAGGATCAACTGAGCCCAGGAGTTCAAGGCTGCAGTGAGCCATAATCATGCCTCTACACTCCAGCCTGGGCTTTTTAAGATTCCATCTCTTAAAAGGAAAAATAAATCAACTGGATCACTAGCCTATAAGAGCTTAACAATTGTTAGGTAGTATTACTATGGGTGTTATTGTTTTGTTATTTGTGGCAAAAAGTACTAGTGCTCACCTGAGCACATGACTTCCTTATGATCAGGTAGGTCCATGTTTGTCTTGGTCACTACTCCAGCCCAGTGCCTAGCACAGTGCTTGACACATGGTGTGTATGCAATGAACACTTAATGAGTACTTAAAGATCTAACCAGTATGATAGTGCAGATTCTCTTGTAAGCAAATGAATAGAGAAAGGCAGTATTCCACAGAGAAGGAGACAGGAAAAAAGAACAGGCTTGATTTTACTAAAAAGAAAAACACACTTTTAAGCAGTAAAATTAGAAGTTCCCATTTCAATGGCACAAAATAGAGAACTCACTGAGAATTGTGTGCTATAACATGGTCAAAGCAGAGGCCGATAATGAAGGGAGCAGCATTCAGAACCATCACATGTATGGTCAGCTTTCAGACCCTGAAAACTCGATTAAAACATTCCAGGAAACCGCTGCACTTTCATTCTAAAGGAAGATTGTGAACTCTGTTCACATATTACACCCCTTCATATTGCTTTGTCTACCAGTGTGGCCTTTTATGAAGTGAGGGCTTCTTTCTTCTACCTTGCTCCATGACAATCAAACCCAAAATGCCTTCCACCCTTAAAAGGAAGTTTTGGTAAGTGCCTTATTATAACTATCACATATGACACAAGGCTCACCACTAATCGGAGACAGATGAGAATGAATTACTTAAATAGGACAGAAATAGCCATTCACTTCAAGAAGGTCCCAGTTTCTTGAAAGTCTGTGGCATTGAGACCATTTACAGTTTGCTGTCAAGATTCCTAGCAGTGCTCATTACCTTGGCTAGCAATCCCTCTGGACTACAGAAAACTTATCTGAAATATATATAATCACAGGCTGCAATGCCTAAGTGCAACAGGATGATTTAAAAAGCACCATGATAGTGTTCCCCCAGGACATTCATCTCTCCCTGTCTATTCATCTTTGATCCAGACAAAAACTTGGAATGCAATCTGTATATTGATATTCCCTAAAAAGGATTTCACCAGCTCTTTAGGAAGAATTGTTTTAGCGGCTCTGGAAGTCTAGAACATTCTGCATTTGTGGTATTTACAGCTTTTGTTTCTATTTCATAAAAATAAAGCCCCACTAAGAGCAGTATTCAATTCCTATCCCAATAGGAGTATCGAATAGTGGTTAAGCACATGTTTTTTGGAACGAAGCAGACCTGTGTTCATCTCTGGGCTCCTCATAGACCTCTTCATAAACTTAGGCAAGGTATTCAACCTTTTTGAGTCTCAGCTATATCAGGTAAATTACTATGCGTGCACAGAAGAGCTTAATAAATGTTAGATGTTAATGGTATTAATATTGTTTTGCTGCTGTTTTCAGTTTTTCTAGCAGAGATTATTAGTATTCACCCATGTGCACAGGTAGACCGCATTTCCACCCATGCACACAGGTAGACCGCATTTCCAAGCTTCAGTGGAGTTACGTGGGTCCAAATGACTGAGTTCCGATCAATGGAATGTGGCAGAAGTGATGTACACCCTTTCCTGGATGGGCCTACAGAAATCCTCTAGACTCTACTCCTCACTCTCCTTTTCCCTTCTCAGGCACCCTGAAGGCTACTTGTTAAAGAATTTAGAGCTACAGGATGGAAAGAACCTGGATCCTACCTAAGAACCTCCTAGGAGAGCCACCCTTCAGAAACATTTGCAGTGGATTCTGAATACGATTTTTTTTTTTTTTTTTTTTTTTTTTTTTTTTTTTTTTTGCCGAGCACGGTGGCTCATGCCTGTAATCCCAGCCCTTTGGGAAGCTGAGGTGGGTGGATCACTTGAGGTCAGGAGCTCAAGACCAGCCTGGCCAACATGGTGAAACCCTGTCTCTACTAAAACTACAAAAATTAGCCAGGTGTGGTGGCACGTGCCTGTAATCCCAGCTACTGGGGAGACTGAGGTAGGAGAATTGCTTGAACCTGGGAGGCGGAGGTTCCAGTGAGCCGAGATTGTGCCATTGCACTCCAGCCTGGTGAAGAAGTGGGACTACATCTCAAAAAAACAAAAAGATACATATATATGATATATCTGATATATGATATATATATGATATATCTGATATATGATATATAAATGATATATCTGATATATATACATATGGTATATATGATATACATCATATGTATATATGGTATACATGAGATACATCATATGTATATATGGTATACATGAGATACATCATATGTATATATGGTATACATGAGATACATCATATGTATACATGAGATACATCATATGTATACATGAGATACATCATATGTATACATGAGATACATCATATGTATACATGAGATACATCATATGTATACATGACATACATCATATGTATACATGACATACATCATATGTATATATGACATACATCATATGTATATATGATACATATATATCATGTATATATGATACATATGTACATATATATGTATATATGATACATATGTATCATATATATCAGGTATATATGATACATATGTATCATATATATCAGGTATATATGATACATATGTATCATATATCAGGTATATATGATACATATGTATCATATATCAGGTATATATGATACATATGTACATATATATCAGGTATATATGATACATATGTACATATATCAGGTATATATGTACATATGTACATATATATCAGGTATATATGTACATATGTACATATATATCAGGTATATATGTACATATGTTCATATATATCAGGTATATATGATACATATGTATCATATATCAGGTATATATGATACATATGTACATATATATCAGGTATATATGATACATATGTACATATATCAGGTATATATGAACATATGTACATATATATCATGTATATATGAACATATATACGTATATATCATGTATATATGATACATATATACGTATATATCATGTATATATGATACATATATACGTATATATCATGTATATATGATACATATATACGTATATATCCATATATATGATACATATATACGTATATCATGTATATATGACGTACGTCATATATATCATGTGTATATATGATGTACGTCATATATATCAGATATCATATATACACATATATCCTATATGTGTATATATGATATATGTATATATGATCTATATACATATATATCATATGTTCTATGATATATATGATATATATCATATATGATATATATGATATATATGATATATATGATATATCATATCATATATGATACATATGATATATCATATCATATATCTTTCTTTTTTTTTTCAGTTAAGCTACTGGGTTTTGACGAAGCTCATTACAGCAGTTAGCCTACTTCAGGGTTTCTCAGCCTGGGCACTACTGATATTTTGGACTACAGAATTCTTTGTTATGGAGGGCTGTCCTATGCATTGTAGGGTGTTGAGCAGCATCCCTGGCCTCTATCCTGCTAGATGCCAGTAGTAACCTCTCCAGTAGCCATGACAACCAAAAATGTCTCCTGACATTGCCAAATGTCACCTGCAAAATCGCCTCCGATTGAGAACCAGCAGCCCACACTGGCCAAAACATCACCATCATTGCTATCATCATCATCATAGGATATTGATAGTCTAGTCTCTCATGTTCCCCTTGAAATCACTGCAAAAGGACTCAAAGTTCCAAAAGAGGTCCAGCCCAGTTTTTTTAGGAGAAAAAAGTGAAATGACACTAAAATTTAAGAAAAGGTAAGGGATCAAGCAGTAAACTCAAAGTTATAGGAGACCAAAAAACAAAGTAAGAACCAAAATAAATATAATCCTTTTTTAAAAAAGCTAGTTTGTGTAGTCCCAGCTACTAGGGAGGCTGAGGCAGGAGAATGGCGTGAACCCGTGAGGTGGAGCTTGCAGTGAGCTGAGATCGCGCCACTGCACTGGGCAACAGACCAAGACTCGGTCTCAAAAAAAAAAAAAAAAAGGCCGGTTTGATCACTTTGGTAACCTAGAATAAAATGATTAAAACAAAAACAAACCCAAATATCTGGGTCTAGGAATTTCAATGTGTCTAACAAATGCTTATAGAATATCTACCATGAGATAAGCATTGGGCTGAATATAACTTGGTAAATAAAACAGATATAATCCCTGCCCTCATAGAGATGAAAGGTAAATAAAAATATGGAGTTTTTTGTTTTTGTTTTTGTTTTTGTTTTTTAAGACAGTGTCTTGTTCTATTGCCCAGGCTGGAGTGCGGCAGTGAGATCATAGTTCACTGCAGCCTTGAACTCCTGGGCTCAAGTGATCATCCGTACTAGCTAGGACTATAGGTTTGCACCACCATGCCCAGCTAATTTTTGTATTTTTTTTATAGAGACGCGGTCTCACTTTGTTGCCCAGGCTGGTCTCAAACTCCTGGCCTCAAGGAATTCTCTTGCCTAGGCCTCCCAAAGTGCTTGGGATTACAGTCATGGGCCATTGCACCCAGCCAAAATATGATGGATTTTTCAAACAGCTTAAACACAGTCATGAATTGACCACTGCAATAGGCAGACTTCTAAAGATGTCCCTGCAGGATTCCCATCCCTGGGCCGGGCATGGTGGCTCACGCCTGTAATACCAGCACTTTGGGAGGCTGAGGCAGGTGGGTCACTTGAGGTCAGAAGTTGAAGACCAGCCTGGCCAATATGGTGAAACCCCCTGTCTCTACTAAAAATACAAAACTTAGCCAGGCATGGTGGTGAGTGCCTGTAATCCCAGCTACTTGGGAGGCTAAGGCAGCAGAATTGCTTGAACCCGGGAGGCAGAGGTTGCAGTGAGCCAAGACTGCACCATTGCACTCCAGCTTGGGCGACAGAGTGAAACTCCCTCTCAAAAAAAAAAAAAAAAAGATTCCTGTCCCTGGTTATCCAATTAAACACTAGATTAGGTGCTGCCATGAAGAGACTTAGCAGATGTATCAAGGTTACTAGTCAACCGACTTTAACATAGGAAGGTTATCTTGAATTATCTGGGTATGCCTACCCTAGTCACATGAGGTTGTAAAAACATAAGTGGAAGGTGGAAGAATCAGTCAGAGTGAGAAAGCAGAAGAGGATGCAGGAGCTATGCTGCAGAGGGAAAGTCAGATTCCAAACACAAGAAAGAAAAAGATAAGATGAATCATTGATGGTTCTAAAATGTAGGAGGCTCTGTGTGAGGACCAGAAAGAGGCCTGAGGGAGCTAAGGGTGGAGCCCTGCCTAACAGACATAAAGAAAATAGGGACTTCAGTCCTACAACCACAAAGAACCAAATTCTGTCAATAACCTGAACGAGTTTGGAAGTTGGTTTTTCTGCAGTCTCCAGTAAGAAACACAGCGCTGCTGATACCTCGATTTTAGCCCAGTGAGACATGTATTGGGCTTCTGACTGCCAGATAATAAATGTGTGTTGTTTTAAGTCACTAAATTCATCATAGTTTGTTATGACAGTAATAGAAGACTAATAAACCATTATGCATTAAATATCACAGAAAAGAAAGGGTTTAAGAAAATAGGTATTAAAGTATGCCTTATCACCTTATCATTCATCAATCTGAGGTTTACTAAACACTTGATGGGTGCTCATTAGTGGAATAAATTAATGCACTCATATTTTCATTCATTTGTTAAAAATATGCATACAGTGCCTCCTCTTTGATGGTCCCTGGGTGAGGTATTGAGGTTACAGTAGTGAAATAGGTATTATCCTCTGTTTATAACAGCTCATAATGGAAGTGGAGGACAGAAACATGTACATTCAACAATAATGCAAAGAACATAATAAAGATATTAACATCATCATTATAAAACTATCAGTAAAAGTGTGAATAAGGGAGTACAGAATAATAATTACAGCTGACATCTATTGAGTACTTGTCTCATTTCCCTTCACAACAAGCCTATGAGACTGTATTAGTCCATTTTCATACTGCTATGAAGAAATACCCGAGATGGGATAATTTATAAAGAAAAAGAAGTTTAATGGACTCACAGTTCCACATGGCTGAGAAGACCTCATAATCATGGCAGAAGGTGAAGGAGGAGCAAAGGTACATCTCATATGGTGGCAGGCAAGAGAGCATGTGAAGAAGAATTGCCCTTTATAAAACCATCAGATCTCATGAGACTTAATCACGAGAACAGCATGGGAAAAACCTGCCCCCATGATTCAATTACCTCCTACCCACTGGGTCCCTCCCATGACATGTGGGGATTATGGTAGGTACAATTCAAGATGAGATTTGGGTGGGGACACAGCCAAACCATAGCAGAGACAGACCCATGATTCATACCATCTTGCAGATTAAGAAGCTGAGGTACAGGCAGGTGAAGAAACCAGCCTAAAGTTACTATCGGTAAGTGGTGGAGCTGGAATTTTAACACAGGAGGTCCAACTTTAGAGCCCATGGTTTTAAACACTTCATTGTGCTGTCTCTCATTGCAGAAGGGTGAGGAGGCCTCACAGAAGGGCTGAGATTTGGGATGAATACCTTCATCAAGAAAAGGAGGAGCCAGTAGAAGAAACTGCATTGGTAAAGCCAGAGATTCAGGAAGAAGGTGGATGGTGTGGCATATTCTGGAACAGGGCTCTGTATTGGCAAGGAGGGGTGGCAGATGAGGTTGGAGCCTAAGTTGTCCTGACTTGAAAGACTTGAACCTCTCAGCAGTTTGAATTTCGTTCTAAAGCTATCAAAAGAACCTATTCAAGAGCATGATACGGTAAATCATCTTCAGCAACTCACATATCATTTTTAACATTGTTTCAGGGGATATTAGTGGACACTCTTAGGAACGCAGTGTATAGCCCACAAGTATAATGACACTTATTAATACAACTTAGAAAACACCCTTTGAAAATGCATCAAAACCCTAAAAGATTCGATTAACTCTATGGAAATGAGGATAAAGGGTAGATGCATGTAAGAATCCAGCTGTCTTCTATCTACAAAGCTCTTCATATCCACAACCACAGAGACACTGCTCAGCTTCTGAATCGCCTTAGTTCACAATAAAATAGAAATAAATCATAATAAAATAAAATAGGGAATAAATCTATCTGTTGGCTTTGAGAAAATTTCTCAGTAGCAACAAACCAACTGCTCAAATCAGAATCCCCCAAAATAAATAAATAAGGTACCTAAGAGGGAATGCATGTGTTGACCAAAAAACTAAAAAATTCTCCCATTTCTGTCTGACGTTGAAAAAAATCATAGGTATTTGGCATTTTAGCCTATGCTGTTGAATGTGGTAGCCACTAATTATATGTGGCTATTTAAATTTAAATAAGGTAAAATTAAATAAAATTTATTTTCTCAGTCCCATTAGCCCCATTTCAAGTCCTCAACAGCCATATGAGGCCACTGGCCACTGTACTGGTCAGCACATGTATCAGACATGTCCATTGTTGCAGGAATATCTGTTGGGAAAAAAATGAACTACTTATTTAGATAAAAGTAGTGATTTGTTAGACATGCCTAATAAAATTCAGTTTATTTTAAGATTATGTAATTAAATTCAGACTTACTTATAAGAGTCTGAATTTTCATTTTAATCGTTTGTATGTATTTCATTCCTCTTAGTATGAAGAGAGTCTATATCAAGAGACTCTCTATGGAGACAGGAGCCAGTTTGTATTAGGCCCCAGCTCTGTCTTGGGCTCTGTGCTAGGCATTTCATATCTGTTATGCTACTTAAGGCTCATGACTCCCTGTGAGATAGGCATGCTTATTCTCATTTTTCCCTAAATGGGGGGCTGTGACAAGGCTGAAGCAAAGAGAGGGCACAACATCTTTTCAGGGTTAACACTTGAGAAACATCTATTTCTTCTTAAGTAGCTCTACTGCTGCTTAGAGAAGTAGAGTATGTAGACAAGACAGTTAAATTTTCCACAGATGGGGTTTACTTAGAGGGAGATAAGATTTCTTTTGCACACAATTGTAGATTTTTTTTTAAATGGTCAAAATCCTCCTGTTCTAGCAGTAGCTAAGAAGTGACTCGGGGAAGCATTCAACAAGTAGGAAAGAAGTCTGCTCAGATGGAGGCCCTGAATCAGAGATGCCTGTCATCTGTTCCCAAAGGCTCCAAACTCCTGCCACAAATACACTGAGGGTTCCTCTCTCTATAACTTCTTCTCTTTATTTTCTCTGGAAGGAATGTACTTGATACTTATTTTTAATCTGAGTCTCCTTCCACAAAAAGTGTAGAGGATGTGCTACCCAGCCCCTAAAGTTTTGCCTCTTGGTATTCACACTTGTGAAGTCATTTTCCATGTGGAAGAGGGCTGACCTGTGTAAGCAATAAGATGCTGCAGAAATGTATGACTTCTGTGGCTAGGTTAGAAGAGCCATGAGTCCTTAAAGCTTTCCCCCTTTTCTCTCTCTTGAGTGGCTGTCTCTGGAGGAAGCCAGTCACCATTCTATGAAGTTACTCAAGCAGCCAGTGGAGAGGCCCACATGGGGAGGAACTGAGGCCTCCCACCAATACTCTCCATCAAGCTGCCAGGCATGTGGTACCTTAGAAGTGGATCTTACAGCCCCAGTCAAGCCTTCAGATGACTATAGAGCCAGAACCACTCTACTAAGCCTGTCCCAAATTCCTAACTCACCAAAATAACATGAGATAGTAAATGTTTACTGCAGTTTTAAGCAGTTGAGTTTTGGCATAATTTGTTATGCAGCAATAGGTACCTAACCCAGAGGGTTTTTCCAGCTTTGCCTATGGGCAAGTCTACAGATGAAACAAGCTGCTTTTCATATTTAGTGCTCTCTCTCACAATTATCAGGAGATATAATTATCTTACCATCCAGGCTGTGATTCTTGCACACAAGCACCAAGTCATCCATTATTGCAGTCTCCCTTCCCATGCTTGATGAATAACTGGGTTCCTGTGATTTTTCCTCTTTTCTTTCCCCATTGACTGTTGAAATTGTTTGCCTCAACTATTGAGTCCCTTCTCTTCAGTTTGCCTCCTTTTCTTTTCCTCCTACATGAGCAGAAGCCAGGAAATTGAATGTATTCGATCACAAAGTATGCATGACCCTCAGCAACATGAGCCTACAATAGTCTTTTTAATGACCAGAGGAAGGTTGTGAGGACTCTTAGTTAATTTGTTATGAACACCCACTCCCATAAGGAAGCTGCTATGTATTTGTGGAATAAATTAAATAAAATCAGCAAATTTGCTTATTATCTATTTCCTGCCCTTTGAACACAGGTTTACCCATAAACTACATTTGTTACACACTAACTGAATATGGAAAGCACTATGGGTAATGCAAAAAATATAGCTTGTCTGTTTTCAGTGTACTCATAAGCAAATATAGGAGACATCACAAAGATGCAAATATGTATTCATATTCACATACATGCTTAAGTAGACATTTACATATCAAAGACAGTGAAGGCTAAGGGCCAAATGAATGGTACACACAAGTGTTAACAGATCTTCAAAAGAAGATGTTATGGCTGTGAGCTGAATTGATCAGGGCAGCCTTTATGCAGGAACAAAGTCTTCAGAAGGTTTAACTATGGCAGATACTATTACAGATACTACTTGTTTCATCCAGTTCTCCTTTAGCCCCAAGCATAGAGACTCCTGCACATCTCAGCCTCTTATGAGTGGGCAGGATCATGTGACTAGCTCTACTTAGTGGGGCACGAGAAAAAGTAACATGTTTCATTTCTTAAGTCAAAGAAAAAACTATGTTTAATTCTCCAATCTTTCTCCCCCAAAAGTTCACATGCTCTGGGGTAACTAGAGGATGTTAGTGGCTCCCTCAGCCTGGGTCTATCTGAATGACTACAATAAGCAGAGCCCCCTGACAACTTTTTTTGGGCATGTACCATTAGCAAGAACTAAACCTTTCTTTGTGATAGGCCACTGTGATCTGGGGACTCATTTGTTACTGCAGCATAACTTAGTCTCTCCTAACTAAAACAGAGATTCCCAAAGATGGAGAAAAGCAGAGCACAGTAGAGGTAGCTTATAAGTCATGTCTTATATGACCTTTCTCAATGACAAACCTGTGTGCTCACCAAGACATAGCTTGTTATGACATATCTGAATAGAATTGAAGGTTTTTAAATAAAAACATAAGAAGGTTGGAAAGGCAGCAGAATGAGCTACTGCCTGTGGGTGATCTTTACACATCTCAGAATAACAGGATTATTGATGCCTTGGCCAGAAGCATTCCTTTCCCTCTGTTTTCTTTTTCTTTGAGATTGCAAGCCATATATTTCCATTTGGAAAACAGTATTTCATAACCTCTAAACCTAACATGAGTCCTGTGAAACCCTAGTCTACAGTTGAATGGCCAAAAATAAAGACTTGAAATTCCTTCAAAGCTATCCCATTTTACAAGGCAATGCTTTCTCTCTCTACCAAGAAAGTGTTCCTGCTTGATAGATTCCCCTCTCTTGCTGTATATTACACTTACTGCTCTCCTGTCACTCCCTATTCTCTTCCTAGTTGTTTGTGCCTTATTAAATTCCACATTTTGAAACAACCAATAAGAATCAGAAAGCCTGAAGAAGCCCTTTCTCATACAATCAGAGCTCCCTTTTTATCTAGGAATAAATTATATTTTCCAATCAATTCATGAGTGGGATTCATTGACAATATACTCTCTTTGTAACATATTTCTGAATGAGTAGTAAATGGTCTTCAATAAGGATATGGCGATACATTTTAGCTAAACTGTTTCATACCGACATTAACTCCCCTGTTAACTTACTTAGGAGTCTAAAGACACAATCAAATAGCTGTTTCTGACTATTATTCTCAAAGCGAAGCTCCAGGCCGTAATCTCAGGACATGCATGAAAATATCAAGTAACAACTCAAAGGCCCATTTCAGCTTCAAATACCTTTGAAAATTCGTGAGTTTGAGGAGCAGAGTGGGATAGCAGGCGAGTGGAAGAGGAGGCTTCTGAGAAACTTAATTATCTACATTTTAGAATGTTTCAGTCTTTGGCCTTTTAATACTGTAGTATAGCCTGGCTTCTGTCATTCTGAAGGGATTTCCCAGCTTAACAAAATCCCAAGGAACCAACCTCAGATTGGTCTCTTACCTAAGGAAAGATTCTGGCAACACAACAGGAAGGATTTGGAAAATTTAATGAAGATTTTGAAATACCCCTAACACACTTAAATTAAAGATAATACCTATTTCACCCAAATCTCCTAACCCCCTGTGGAAGATCAATTCTAATTTTTGAGGACAATTATTCATGTGTTATTGGCTTGAAGTACAGAATGTATTAGTAAGTCTCTTCAGTTCTAAGTAACAGAAACCAAATCAGGCTAGGTTAAAATTGAAGGGGCATCATTAGAAGGACCCAAGAGTGTCTCAAGGACTCAGAGGCAAAGATGCAGCCAGTTCCCCCCAGTGCCGGGAACCAGAAGGTGGGCAGGAACTCAGGGAATACAGCCCCCTTCTATCTCTGCTTCTCAATTCTCATAGGGAAATATGGTTGTCCACAGATCTCAGGTTTACCTGTCATAGTTCTAGCCACATGCAAGGAATGACTGCATATCTCTGAATTCCAAATTTCAGAAAGTGAGACCTTGGGGTGGGAGATGGGGCACGCTTGGATTCGGTGTCTAACTCTAATTCAAACAACTTTTGCCACGGAGCCATGTAGTAGCCAAATATGTTTCTAAGGCCCAAGGGACCACTCTTACAAAGATGGAAGATAGTTCACTAAAAAGAAGACATGCTTTCTAGACTCCACAGCCACCCCAGAAGTGCCAAGATAAATAATAGGGAGCCAGAGTTTAAGCAAGGGCCACCATCACTGCAAGTTGTCTCATCCAACTTCTCCCTTTATAGGAATTGACATGACTTCAAATATTCATGTCTGACACCAACGAAGAGGAATGTCTGTTCTTGAGCTCTTTTTCTCGGTTCCCAAGGGGCCCTCAGTACCCTGCTTTACCATTTAGTGTGGATTCTGACAAAAGAACAAATTAAGTACTTTGATTTGATTCTTAATTTTTCCTTATAAAGACTTGCAATAAATATTGTGGGTACCTAGAAATAATCCACCATAGTGCACAACACAATCTGTTGACTTACCTTAGCTTCCATTTTCCTTCTTGGTCTGACATATAAATTCACCTTGCTGCTCAATTCTGTCACCTACTATTTTCAGCATGTATGAGCAACAGTAAAGTGCATGCCCACAGAACTCAGAAATGAGAAAACTAATATTGCTCTGTTATATGCATAATGGATCAATACAGAGGTATTTAAACACACAAAGAAAAAAAAAAACAGGTCAGCAAGACTTGACTTTCAACTGATAGAGAATATTAACATGTTTATGGGTAGAAAAAGTGGTCAGTTGTAGAAAAATATACAAAGAAAAGCTACAAAGAGATGTTGGCAGTGGCCATTTAAGCTCTGTCTAGGGAAAGGAAGCCTTTAGTTAATGGCCTTCAAGTATTCTAATGTAGGGACACGGCACCCCTACTGTGGAAAGAGATGCAGGAGGTGGAAGGTAGCTAAGGCCTTGGAGTTTCAGTTCCACAGGCAAGGCTATCCTTATCATGAGAACTGAGCAGCATGAAGCTATCTGTAGTCTGACAGTCATATTGTATGTTGTGTCAAATGAAAACATAGCATCACTCAATTCCTTTTGTTCTCTTCTCTTGCTAAACACACAACTATCTGATGCTCTGGCTTCCCATGGACCTCAGGCCTGCTTAGAGGATGGAATGCAATAGTCCCACTAGTCTGTGCAGTGGGCCAACTGCTGGTTGTAAAATCACAAAGGGGCCTTCTAGGTTACCGCGTCTCACAAACTTGGGTAATGTAATTCCGTCTTGAAGAGAGAGTCCCCCATGGGTAAGACCATGGACCATGGTAAATGAGTGTACCCCAGGAGAACTGCTTGGGAAATAGTCACTTAGCCTATTCTCCTGGTGATGCCCCAGACATTGTCAACATGGACCCCTTGGAGCATTTCCTCGTTGATGTCTACATTTGTTACCTTACTCTTAATTAAATTTTCTAAAAAGATGGCACAATAGGAGCACTGAGAACATGATTTTTAGGAAGAAAAGGAATCCCATGTAAACCCGTTTCCATCTGTGGTTCTTGCCTTTCTGTCCTTATCCATAGGGCAGCTCATTCTTGCATATCTGCAGCTCTTGCATGCCTGCCATTTTGTATCTTCCTTTTTCTCGTTATATCAGAAGCATTATAATAAGTTACATTAGAACCCGTTTTGCATATTTTAACATTGCCTTCACAGTGAAACTATAGAGAGCTTTATGGTGGCACTCTAGTGAATATTCTGTTCTGCTTCTGTTACATGACTACCTTAGGAAAAGTCTCCGAGAACTCCTGTCTCCCATGATTATCTCTCCTAATCAGGCTTTCTACTATCAAACTACTCAGCAAAAGGAACTCACCAACCTATAGTGCTACCAGAAGTCTAATAACATAACACTGTCACCACAACTTTTTCAGCACTAAACATGATCATTTTTAAAAATAGTAAGTTTATTAGGTATATAATGATACTTTCCAAGTTCCAGCCTGTTTATAAAGGACTCTGTATAAATAAGGAAGGGGCCCAGGAATGGTGACATATTTAACGTGTAAGTCAGGATGCTAAATGTCTGACTGTATTTGTTTATTTTTTTCTGAAATGGAGTCTTGCTCTGTCACTTAAGCTAGAGTGCAATGGCACAATCATGGCTCAATGTAGCCTTGACCTCCCATGCTCAAGTGATCCTCCCACCTCAGCCTCCTGAGTAGCTAGAACTATAGGCACACACCACCATACCCAGATTTTTTATTTTTTGAATGTATTTATTTATTTATTTATTTATTTTTTGTAGAGACGAGGTCTTGCTTTGTTGCCCAGGTTGGTCTTGAACTTCTGGACTCAAATGATCCTCCTGCCTCAGTCTCCCAAAGGATTGAAATTACAAGTGTGAGCCACTGTGCCCAGCTCCTATTATATTTTTAAAAGGAATATACTGAGGAAAATACAAATGGAGTTCAACTGATAAAAAGAAACCTCTGTAATATGAGCAGGTGAATACAATTTACAAGATCATACTTCAGTATGAATTCAGTAGGAATTGCATGTTTTGCCTGCTGTGTGTCCCTAAGGGTGACACACTCCTGAATGGGACTTTAGTTTGCCATAAGCCTGCTTTGTTTTGTTTGTGGTAGAAATTCCATGCTATGAGGAAATGCTTTCATTTCTTTTGATATCTCATGAGCGCTTGTTGCAAAAAACATTTGTAGGCAAACAGCTTCACACATATTAAAAACTTGTAGCAGAAAGTTAATTCCCTAACATAAGTTGTCCAGCTCAGGGCTCTATAATCCTGTAATTCATTTTGGTTCCAATAAATACGTACTTTCTGTGAGACCCTTTGGGGAAAGGGTAATTAGATATTTCACATCAGTGGGATATCTTTCCTTCTTTTGCTCCCCCTCCTTCTTTCCTTCTCCTTTTCTTCTCTTTAATTCTTCTACCCAGAAAAATTCTCAAGGAGCAAAAATACATTACTCTCTGCATTTTTATAAGCTGGCCAGTTTTGCTTCCTGGCTTTTGAACAGAAAATTATGCCTCAAAAATAATCCCACATTATTCTCTAAATTCATTTTCCTCAGTCATTAGCCCATAACGGCAATTTTCCTTTTGAAAATAAAGAATAATGATCATTTATTGAGACAAATCCTCAATCAGAATGATTCAAAGAGAATACAAATTTAATGATCACCCTGAGAACCCAAGTAATACATCTCAGGAAATAATAATAAAATTTATGATGGCCTTAAAATTGCTTAACTCCTTTCAGGAAACCCTGAATTATAGGGTAGTAACATAACCAAGGACTGGCAACAACTCACAAAAGTCTAGAAGAGTTTTGCCTTTGAGTTCATAGACAAAGATGCTTAAATTGTTCCCCGTTCAAAAAATAAAGATTATTTATTATTTACTTTCCTGTGCACCGGACACTCCTGCAACATGACTATAACTCTTGCGTTCTTAGATTTGATCTTCAAGGTCTCTGAATGATGAAAAAACTTGTAGGGTAGCATGCCAACCAACTTGGGTTTTTTGTCTGTTTTTGTTTTTGGAGGAGGGGAACAAGGCAGGGAGAGAGGGAGAGGGAGAGAGAGAGAGAGAGAGAGAGTGAGAGATCACACTACCAGGAGCTTCATAAAGAAACCTGCAATGCAGAACCAAAGTGGATGAAAGCAAAAGGATACAACTTTTCCCTCCAGATGATTTTACTGGGAGGAAGAAAGATTTGAAACTATTGAGTGCTTTTTCTGATAACCACCTATGGCTCTCTCCAAAGACACACATGTAAAGTTGGGCAAGTTGTTTTCTGTCATGTCAGGAAAATATTTAGTAGCAGTCTTACAAAAGTAAGCACTCAGCGCCGTCCCAGGGAGCTGTGGATTTGCTGTGCAGCCTTGTTTCCTTCAACAGGTTCCTTTGTTGCTTTGTGTGTTCTCCCGACAAAGGGCCTGCCCTTCTTCTACAGATGGGTTTACCATTCTCTCTGAATGAAGACTATTCAGAAGTACACAAACCAACAAACCATCCAAGCTGCCTCTATCTGATGGTCCTGGTATATCCAGAGTACTAAATAGTGGCCTACAGGATGGGAAATTCACACTGACTGACTCCACAGGAGACTGAGAAAGCTTAACTGGCTGATAGCTGTAAAGTCCTTTGAAGGAACAAGCACTGTTTAAAATTCTAAGTAGTAATCTTATAATTTGCTAATGGAAAGAAATATAACCCAGCTAATGTGTGCCTCCCATTTCAGAGAGTATGTTTCAACAGCAAAGCCCTTTACAATATTTAGATAAACTTCGATGTATAGAAAGTGCAACAGCAAGGTAAACAGCAGGGCTTCCCGCTATGGCATTTTAAAATGTGGTGGGTGAAATTTGTCACTCCTAAGCAAGTGCCTATAGTAAAAATAAAATATCACTATTTATATGGTATGTGTTAAAAATTGTCCACTCTCCCCAACTACACCAGATCAAAACCTCTTGTTTTTTAAATTATGAAATTATTGAACTGTATTGAGCACACCCCTACTTATGAGTTGTGTAACCTGGGGCATGATATTGAACCCCTCTGAGTCATTTCCTCATCTATCTAGACAAGGCTAATGGTAATACCTACATTGTAGGGCTGTCGTTAGAATTTTAAAATAATTTAATAAAATAAAGGCTAGTATTTATTAAACTCTAAATACATGTTTGCTGCTATCAGCAGCAGCAGCATCGGTCGGCAATCACGCCAACACTCCTCAAAGAAAACAGTTCTGAAAAGGCTGTGTGCATCCTAGGTCTGAAGATTTTCTTGGTCTAAAGAGTCTCTTGGGCTAGTGACCAAATCCTTCATTAATTTCAAGAGCTCTGGGAACTCTCTGAAACTGAATGTGGAATGGTATAACTACTGGTCTGTGCACATTTTTCTAGAAAACCTCACATCTTTCATCACATTAAGAGGTTAAGAATCATTGCCATATGTAGTCATTAGCTTACCTTTATCTACTTTCTACTTCTAACGGAGAACTAGAGTCCTGTTTAGAACAAGTAACCAGGACAGGGACAGAAGAAGGAGACTATGCATCTGTCACTCTTGCTGATTAGTCTCCACCCTCTCCCAGCTTCTGCGGGCCTCCTCTCCCAAGAGTTGCGATCCTAGACCCACCTCCCATCTGCAGTCTCAACCTATCCTCTTCTAAGGACTAATCATGGCATATGGCAGGAGAGATTTAAGACTAGCTAGGTCAATGCTCTAAGCTCAACATCAAGTCACCTCTGAGGCAGGGTGTTGTCATGGAATGATCATGACCTCTGAAATAGGAAGGTCTGTGTTTGATTTGGCTTGACCACTTACTGGACGTGTGACCTTGGAAACGTTTACTTAATCATGTCTTTTGTCACCTATAAAATAAATACAATAAGATTTACATTGTGAGTCTATGAGAGAGAAATGAGATAATATAGAGAATATTTTTAAAATGGGAGCATATGTCAGGCAACAGTAGATGCTCAGCAATGTTCTTTTCTTACCTGGGCTTCAACCTGGCACCCTTGGTCACCTTCCCAGGACCCAAATCCCTCTAGGAATAAACTCTGGCCCTTGCTGGCTTCTTTATTCTTCCTCCCACCTACATACTTGAACCCATCCAAAGAAATAGGTCTGACTACCTTGGAAACCTTTTCTGATGCTTACTACTTGTCCAACATTCATTTTTCTGTACCATGTGTGTAGATACTGGATTCCCCATCCTAGAATTCTACCCACCTCTTGGGCTACCCTGTTACAATGTGTGACTGACTATCCTACTCCCACTTTCCAAGTTAACCACTTAATTGAATGGCTGCCCATCAACATACTCCTTAAATGCCAAGTTAGTTCTGTCAAACCCAATCCACAGACAAGCCTTATCCTCAAACCTTTTCTGCCCTCTGCCACAGTGCTAACTGGTTCATTGTGCTTGTTCAGCATGCAGGGACCTTTAATTTAATGGGCCTCTCCCATTTTTCACATATCATGAAAGTTATCAAATTTAGGTTAATTAAGTTTAAGACATCCATAGTTATTCGAGTGAAAACTTGAAGGCAGCATAATGGATAATAATGGTAAAATGATAATTTTTGAGCTCTTAGTAGATGCCAGGCATAGTCCTAAGCAGTTTAAATATATTTTTTTCATATGATTTTCATAACAATCCTACATAGTAGATTATGATCATTATCTCTACTTTATAGGTGAGGAAACTGAGACTTAGAGAAGTTAAGCAAATGGCCAAAAGTTATGCAGGTAGTAAGTAGCAGACATAGAATTGAGAAGACAGCCCCCATTCTAAATAAGTATGAAAAATTTCAGGGTGTCAATTTTTAGCTAAGGAAAACTTATTCATGTGTGTGTGTGTGTGTGTGTGTGTGTGTGTGTGTGTGTGTAAATGAATAGATATTCATTTACTTATATATCTATTTCCCAGGCCTCAATGCAATCAGAGATCTCTGAAGAAGTGACCATATTATGAACATAAATTTTTGACTTCATAACTTTACAGTGATAAATAACCTCAGGTTATCAGGATCCTAACCTTAAACCACCTGAGATTTTATCACTGTTCCTTTAGTAAGCAAGGGATTTTTCAACCCTGAGACAGATAAAAAATAGATTGTATGGTCAATGAAATCCATTATATTCATACTTTTTGGTTGAGTTTAGGTAATGGAACAATCTGAGAATTTTGTATCAAGTATTTGTGATGTTTAAGAGGATTTATCATATTTAAGAATCTGACAGATTGCCCCTGCAATTAGAAGTACAATTGATTACTGACTTCTAATTTTAGGTTAAAAAGTTTAACAGAATTTGATGTTTTTAAGTAGTACTGAGATGTTTAAATAACTGAATTTATTCTTTATGAGTCTAGTATATTTGATTCAAAACATGGCTTCAAAGCTTAGAAAGGTTTTGCTTGTTAAGGTTGTGAGCTTGTACTGCCAAGTATTCGAAGTGTTTACAAAGAAAGTAAAATTGTTAAATGTGTAAAGTTATTTTAAAATATTGATGAATACATTTAACAAGTAAATACAAAAGTGTATTTAAGTAGACATTATTCTTTTATGGCATTCATAAATTCATAAATTGCACAAGATAACCTGAGTTGCTCTAAATGCTTTTCAAACTTAAGTTTAGGGGAGCAACATCAGCAAGATGGCTCACTAGAAACTCCAGCACTCATCCCTTCCACAGTGACAGCCAAAACAATGAATAAACAACTACACTTTAATGTACATAACTGAAGGAGAGTGCTAGAATACATCAAAGGAGTAACAGAAACCCTGGTGAGCACAGAAACTCAGGACAGCCACAAAGAGAATGGAAGGAAACATCACAACTCCACCACCCTATCCCCAGCTGAGATGAGCCAGAAACCCAGAGGAAACTTTCCCTATAGGAAAAAGGCAAGCAAGAGGATTCCAGTAGCCTCCACCAACACCTTGGACACCCACAGTCCTCACTACTGGAGTCCTTGTAGTCTTCACTGGCACTAAGTCCAGCTGAGGGAGCTGCCTACAGGCCACACAGCCACACTCACCTCAGAGAAGGAACTAATACTGTGCTCTATTCCCTGTAGCCCACATGGCAACTGTGCTATATCATCTTAGAACTGGAACTACTGCTGAAGTGTGATTTTCTCTGAGGGTGAGCAGGCTTGACACCCCTGCCTCCATAAGGCTAAGCTGCCTCCAAACCACCCCAAACCAGTGGCCACAGCCAAGCTGCCAGCAGCTGTTAATGCCTTTCCCCATGGAGCCAAACAGTGAAAACTGCTCTACCTGCCCTCCCTCACCTTCACCTGCCCTCTCCCTTCACCTGCCCTCTTGTGCTAGAGATGAAGCAATACATTCCCTCCTGGGGAAACAGTGCTTTGGCAGAACAGCTCCATCTGCTTCTCTCCGCTGCAACTGTACACTGCTTCTAGGGGTCTGAGCCAAAATGGCACAGTATCTCCCAAGGAAATAGTGCTTTGGTAGGACCCTGTATCCCAGGTAAATGGTGCCTGGGCCACACAGAACAGTCATGCCTGAGTTAAAGTGTCACATTGCCCCTTGGGGAATCATTGCCTTGGTCAAGTTAAACAACTGTGCATCCCAGGGCTGAGCTGATGTAGTATCTTGTGTCCCAAGGAAACAGAGTAGAACATGACCTAAGACAGTCTACCCTACTGGACAATCTAGTACCCTGCTTTCCTGAAGCTGGACTAGCCCACTAGAGTCTGAACTGCTAAGACCTGCTGTTTCCTGGGGAGTGGACTCATCACTGTGCTACTCCCTGCCCTCCAGGACCCAAACAATACCCATGCTCAGTCATTCTAGGGTACTTGCTGCCACTGCGCCTGGCCACATGGAGTCTGGGATACAGATATGCCCCACCATTCCAAGGTCTAAATTTACCACTACATAGTTCTTCATTCTCAGGGACCTAAGCTGCCACTGAACCCTATTGGCTTAGGCTCCTAAATTATAGCTGTACCATGCATGCTGTGCTCAAACCCCTAAAACTCTGCTTCTTTCCCAGAGCTGAGCCAGGGCTGTATCCTATTCCCCAGGGGTAGAATCACAGCTACAACCTGACCCACTGAATCAAAGCTGGTAGGGGCTGCCTAACAGTCATAGATTCTGGCTCTGTGGGAAACCTATATTTGACCCAGCTACAGAGAGTGAACCTGTACCCCAGGACCCAAGAGCCACAATAGGCTTGTGAAACTCTGATATTAGCACCCTGACTCCATAGCCACTTCAAGTACCAATCCCTGGAACTCAAAGCAATGGAACTGCTTGTAGGCCATGTAAGAGGGATCCTCTTGTTTAATTATCCCCATTGTGAGGAAAATCAGAATAGGAGGACCCCAAAAGCCCTGCCACTGAGGACATTAACAACCTATGTTGTCACTGCCACTACCATACCCCTTTTTTTTTAATTATACTTTAAGTTTTAGGGTACATGTGCACAATGTGCAGGTTTATTACATATGTATACATGTGCCATGTTACTGTGCGGCACCCATTAACTCGTCATTTACATTAGGTATATCTCCTAATGCTATCCCTCCCCCTGCCCCCACCCCACAACAGGCCCCGGTGTGTGATGTTCCCCTTCCTGTGTCCATGTGTTCTCATTGTTCAATTCCCACCTATGAGTGAGAACACGCGGTGTTTGGTTTTTTGTCCTTGCAATAATTTGCTGAGAATGATGGTTTCCAGCTTCATCCATGCCCCTACAAAGGACATGAACTCATCCTTTTTTATGGCTGCATAGTATTCCATGGTGTATATGTGTCACATTTTCTTAATCCAGTCTATCATTGTTGGATATATGGGTTGGTTCCAAGTCTTTGATATTGTGAATAGTGCCGCAATAAACATACATGTGCATGTGTCTTTATAGCAGCATGATTTATAATCCTTTGAGTATATACCCAGTAATGGGATGGCTGGGTCAAATGGTATTTCTAACTCTAGATCCCTGAGGAATTGCCACACTGACTTCCACAATGGTTGAACTAGTTTACATTCCCACCAACAGTGTAAAAGTGTTCCTATTTCTCCACATCCTCTCCAGCACCTGTTGTTTCCTGACTTTTTAATGATCGCCATTCTAACTGGTGTAAGATGGTATCTCATTGTGGTTTTGATTTGCATTTCTCTGATGGCCAGTGATGATGAGCACCACCATACACTTTTACAGCCTAAGTCATTCAGGCATCCACAGTTACTGTTGACACTGAATGCAGCTGAAGAAACTGCATAGATACTATACCACTGAACCTACCTGGAAACAAAGTCACCACACTTTTCCTAATTAGCACACTAAGATCCAACTACAGGTGAAAGTCTTTCTCTGCAAAAGCCACTCTAGAAAGTCTGGAAGAGGCAATTTTTCCACCAAATGCATAGACATTGATGTAGAAACACAAGAAATATGAAAAAGCAAAGAAATATGTCAATGCCAAAGGAACAAAATAACTCCCTAGTAACAAACCCTAATGACAAGAAAATCAATGAATTGCCAGAAAAGGAATACAAACTAGTACTCTTAAGAAACTCAACAAGATACAAGAAAATACAGATAGACAATTCAACAAAATCAGAAAAAGAATTTATTATATAAATTAGAAATTCAACAGAGATAGATATTATAAAAAATAATTCAATTAATAAAATAAAAAATACAATAGGCAGCTTCAAGAACAGACTTAAGTATAGAAAACAATCTCTGAACCTAAAAATAGGTTATTTAAAATTACTTAGCTAGAGAGAAAAAAAAATAAGAAAGAAAAAGAGTTTTTAAAAAAGACTACAAGACTTATAGGACACCATTAAGTGAACAAATTTTCATATTATGGCAGTTCCAGAAGGAAAAGATGTATTAAAAAAAAAACCTAATTTAATTATCTAATAGCTGAAAATTTCACAAGTCTGGATAGAGATGTGTATATACAGATCCAGGAAACTCAAAGGTTCCCGAATAGATTCAAGCCCTGATGCACATTATAGTTCAATTGTCAAAGTCAAAGACAAAGCAAGAATTCTAAAAACAACAAGAGAAATGTGTCACAGTACATTTAAGGGAATCCCCATTAGACTAACAGAAGACTTTCAGCAGAACCTTATAGACCAGGAAAGAACAGAAAGCTACATTCAAAGTACTGAAGGAAAAAAACTGTCAGTCAAGGATACTATATCCAGCAAATATATCCTTTAGAAATGAGGAAGAAATAAAACGTTTCTCAGAGAAGTAAAAACAGGGAATTCATCACCACTAGAACAGTTTTACAAGAAATTCTAAAGGGACTCCTGCATCTGGAAGCAAAAAATGATTATCACTACTAAGAAAACACACAAAAGTATAAAACTCACTGGTAGAGGCTGAGCATGGTGGCTTACGCCTATAATCCCAGAATTTTGGGAGTCCAAGGTGGGCAGATCACCTGAGGTTGGGAGTTCAAGACCAGCCTGACTAACATGGAGAAATCCTGTCTCTACTCAACACACAAAATTAGCTGGGTGTGGTGGCACATGCCTGTAATCCCAGCTACTTGGGAGGCTGAGGCAGGAGAATCACTTGTACCCAGGAGGTGGAGGTTGCAGTGAGCTGAGATCGTGCCATTGCATTCCAGCCTGGGCAACAAGAGTGAAACTCATCTCAAAAACAAACAACAACAACAACAACAACAACAAACTCACTAGTAGAGCAGATACACAGAAAAAAAGAGAAAAGAAGCAAAACTTATCACTACAGAAAATCACTAAACCACAATGATAAATAATAAGAGAAGAAAGAACAAAGGATATGCAAAATAACCAGAAAATAGTTAACAAAACGACAGAAGCAAGTCATGACTTATCAATAATAACCTTGAATGTTAACAGAATAAATTCCCCACTTAAAGACATAGACTGACTTAATTGATTTAAAACAAAAGAAAACAAAAACATGATCCAACTATATGCTTTCTATAAGAAATTCACTTCACTACTAAGGATACATACAGATTAAGAGCAAAGGAATAGAAAAAGATACTCCATGCAAATAAAAATAAAAAGCGAGCAGGAGTAGCTTTACTTGTATCAGATAAAACAGACTTTAAGTGAAAAAACTGTAAAAAGAGACAAAGAGGATCATCATATAATGATAAAGGAATCAATTCAGCAAGAAGCTACAACAGTTATATATGCATCCAACACTGGAACACATTGATATATAAATTAAATAGTATTCAATCCAAAGGGAGAGATAGACCCCAATGCCATAATAGTTGGGGACCCCACTCTCATCACTGGATAGGCCATCTAGAAAGAAAATCAACAACGAAACATTGAGTTTATACTGCATTTTAGCTCAAATGGACCTAGCAGACATTTACAGAACATTTCAACTGACAGTGGCAGAATACATATTATTTTCATCAGCACATGGAACATCCTCAAGGACAGATCACAAAGGCCACAAAATAAGTCTCGACAAATTTAAAAGAAGTGAAATCATATCAAGTATCTTTTCTGAACACAATGGAATAAAACTAGAAATCAATAACAAGAGGGACTTTTGGAAGCTCTATGAATACAACATGCTCCTGTATAACCAAAGACTCAATACAGAAATTAAGAAGAAAATTTAAAAATTTATGAAAATGGAAGCACAACATATCAAAACTTATGAGATACAGCAAAAACAGTGCTAAGAGAAAAGTTTATAACAATAAACACATCAAAAGAGTAGAAAGACTTTAAATAAATAATCTAACAGTGCAAGAACAAAAATGAAAACAAGAACAAACCAAACCCAAAATTAGTACAAGGAAAGAAATAACAAAGATCAGAGGAGAAATAAATGAAATTGAGACTAAAACTTACAAAAGATCAATTTTTAAAACTTTTTTTGAAAAGATAACAAAATTAACAAACCACGAGCTAAACTAACCAAGAAAAATGTCCCAAATAAATAAAATTAGAAACAAAAAGAGAGACCTTACAACTGATAACCCACATATACAAAAGATCATTAGAGACTAGTACAAACAACTGTACACCCACAAATTGGAAAACCAAACAGAAACAAATTCCTAGACAACCTAACAAGATTGAACCTAGAAGAAATAGAAAACCTAAACACACCAATTACAAGCAACAAGTTGAATCAATAATTTTAAAAATGTTCTATCAAAGAAAAGCCCAGGACCTGATAGCTTCACTACTGAATTCTACCAAACATTTAAAGAAGAACTAATGCCCATCCTTCTCAAACTCTTCTAGAAAATAAAAGAGAAGGGAATTCTTTCAAGCTGATTCTACAAGACCATTATTACCCTGATACCAAGCCAGATAAGGACACAACAAAAAAAGGCCAAAATCCCTGATGAACATCGATGCAAACATCCTCAACAAAATACTAGCAAGTTGAATCCAGCATCACATTAAAAAGAACATTCACCATGATCAAGTGGGATTTATCCCAGCGATGCAAGGACGGTTCAACATATGCTAATCAATAAATGTGATACTTCACATTAACAAAATGAAAGACAAACACCATATGATCATCTCAATAGATGCAGAAAAAGAAAAGAAAATTCAACATCCCTTCCTGATAAAAACCCTGAACAAACTAAGTATAGAATAAGTGCACCTCAACATAGTGAAGGCCATATATGACAAATCCATACCTAACATTATACTGAACAGGGAATAGCTAAAAGCTTTTCTTCTAAGAACTAGAACAAGACCATGATGCCCACTCCCACCACTGTTATTCAACATAACATTGGAAGTCCTAGCCAGAGCAATTAGGCAAGAGAAAGAAATAAAGGGCATTCAAAATGGAAAGGAAGAAGTCAAATTGTCCCTGTTTACAGATGACATAATCTTAAATACAGAAACCCATATAAGCTGTACCAAAACATTCTTAGAATGAGACAACAAAATCAGTAAAGTTGCAGGATACAAATTAACATACAAAAATCAGTACCATTTCTATACACCAACAATGAACTAGTGAAAAAATAAAGCAAGAAAGCAACCTTACTTACAATAGCTACAGAAAGAAAATATAAAATACCTAGGAATAAATCTAACCAAGGAAGCAAAAGATCTCTACAATTAAATGACAGGACACTGATAAAAGAAATTGAAGATCTGGTTACAAAAAAAGGAAAATATCCCATATTCATGAATTGGAAGAACTTATATTGTTAAAATGACAATGCTACCAAAAACAATTTACAGATTTGATGTAAACCTTTTCAAAATACCAATATCATTCTTCACAGGATTAGAAAAAATCCTAAAATTTATGTGGAACCACTGAAGACCCCAAATAGCCAAAGCAATCCCCAGCAAAAAGAACAAAGCTGGAGGTAGCACATTATCTGACTTTAAAATATACAAGAAAGTGATAATAACTAAATCATCATGTTACTGGAGTAAAAACAAACACATAGACCAGTGGAACAGAACAGATAAATCAGAAGTAAATCCTTTAATTATAGCAAACTGATTTTTGACAAAATGCCAAAAACATTGAGTGTGCAAAGGACAGTCTATTCATAAATGATGCTGGGAAAACTGGATATCCATATGCAGAAAAAATGAAACTAGACCTCTGTCTCTCACATATACAAGAATCAAATCAAAATGGACTAAATAATTAAATGTAAGGCCTCGAACTATAAAACTAAGAGGAAAACATTGGGGAAAATGCTTCTGGGCATTGGTCTGGGCAAAGATTTTTTGGATAAGACCTCAAATATAAAGGCAACAAAGGTTAAAATAGACAAATGGGATTATATCAAGCTAAAAAGCATCTGTACAGCAAAGGAGACAATCAACAGAATGAAGAGACAGCCCACAGAATGGGAGAAAATATTTGCAAACTATCCATTTGACAAGGGATTAATAACCAAAATATATAAGGAACTCAAACAACTCAATAGCAGAAATGCTAATAATTCAGTTTTAAACTGGGCAAAAGACCTGAATAGACATTTCTTAAAAGGAGACATACAAATGGACAAGAGGCATATGAAAAAATGCTCAGCATCCGTAATCCTCAGGGAAATGCAAATCACAACCACAGTGAGATACCATCTCACCACAGTTATAATGGCTACTATGAAAAAGACAAACAATAACAGATGCTGGAGAGGATACAGTAAAAGAGGAATGCTAGTGTACTGATAGTGGGAATATAAATTAGTACAGCCATTATGGAAAACGGTATGGAGGTTCTTCAAAAAAACTAAAAATATCTACAATGTGACCCAGCAATCCTGCTGCTGGGTATATATCTGAAAGAAAGGAAATCAGGATATTGAAGAGATATCTGCATACCCATGTTTACTGCAGCACTATTCATAATAGCCAAGATATGGAATCAACCTAAGTGTCCATCAGCTATGGATGAAAAGATAAAGAAAATGTGGTATATACACACAATGAAATACTATTCCGCTTATTTTATACAATTAAGCCTAAAATATATTTTAAAAAATAATAAAATCCTATTTGCAGCAACATGGAACTGGAGGTCATTATTTTTATGTGAAATAAGCCCAACACAGACAAATATTGGCTGGGCTAAGTGGCTCATATCTGGAATCCCAGCAATTTGGGAGGCTGAGGGAGGATTATTTGAGCCCAGGAGTTTGAGACCAGCCTGGGTAATATGGCAAGATTCTATCTCTATAAAAAAATTAACTGGCTGTCCTAGCTACTTGGAAGACCAAAGTGGGAAGATCGCTTGAGCCCAGAAAATTGAGGCTGCAGAGGGCCGTGTCTGTGCCATTTTAACTTTACTCCAGCCTAGGTGACAGACTGAGACCCTTTCTCAAAAAAAAAAAAAAGAAGAAGAAGAAAAATAATAAGAATGACAGACAAATATTACATTCTCTCACTCCTATGTGGAAGCTTAAAAGTGTGGATCTCATGGAGGTAGAAAGTTGATGGGTGCTACTAGAGCCTGGAAAGGGTGGCAAGAGGGGTGAAGAGAGGTTGGTTAATAGATATAAAAAGACAGCTAGATAGAAGGAATAAGTTCTAGTGTTTGATAGCACAGCAGGGTGATTATAGTTAACAATAATTTGTTACATATTTCAAAATAGCTGCAAGAGAGAATTTGAAATGTTCCTAACACAAAGAAATGATAAATGTTCAAGGTGCTGGATATCCTAATTACCTTGATTTGATCATTGCACGTTGTATGCATGTACTAAAGTATCACATGAGCCTATAAATATGTATAATTATTATGTATCAATAATAAAAAACATTAAGTTTAAAATATATCTTTAATAAATTAAACTTTTGTTAAAAGCCCAAATTATAGTAAATAAACCCTTCTGCATACAAAAAGTGATCTATTAGCCACTGAAAATCTTATAAGAGAGTTTTTATGACAGACTTATGAGCAATAATAAGTATTTTAAAATATAAATCAGATCATGTCATGCCTTGGCCTAAAACTCTTCATTGTTTAACAGTTACTCTTATGAGAAATTCCAGTCTCCCAGCCAAGGTCTATGAAACTCTTCAAAATTGACTCTTGTCCACTTCTACCTCCTCACCAATTATCAACCTCACTACCCCAGTCACTTTGGCCTTTTTTCCTCTTTCTGATACATCATGAGCTTATTATGGCAACAAGTCTTTTATATTTGTTAACTTCTCTACCTGGAGTACTTTTCCCAAAATATTTTGCAAGGTGGGCTCTTGCTTGACATTTAACTCTCAGCTCAAATATCACCTCCTCCAGATGCCTCCTCTAATTGTCCTTTACACCAATAACCTCTGACACATTCATATGTTTTACAGTCTTAGGAATATCCTCAATGCCTGACTTACCATATTCATTTATTGGCTCCCATATTTATTTCCCCCTCTCCCAAATAAAATAAAAGCTCAATGAGAGCAATATCTTGTCTTTCCTAAACCATTGCTTGGCACATATTAAATGCTCAATAAATATCTGTTGCACAAATGAATAAACTTAAATAAATAAAACACATCTTTGCCTTAATACCAAGTTATTTTTAAATCATATCCTTATGTAATATCGAATCCATAAGACTCAATTATCTGGGGTTTATTTGACAAATTTGATTATCTTATTTGGGGGTTAATACCATGAATGGCTAAAAATAGGCCAATTGCCAAGCAGAGCACACAAGCAAATATGATCCCTCCCCAGGATGCTTGCCATCCAAATTACAAGCATTGAAAAATCTTGGCAAGGCGCCTATGCTAATAAGAAAGTGATCCAATATTCATGAGAAGAACTTGAAAAACTATTATTTTTGCCTGCAATCTTCTTGGCTTTTCCATAATTAATATGTCATTATCATCAGAAGGCTAAGAGATCAAGAGTGGTAAAAGCAACCTTTCATGTAATACTCATAGGGACAATGGTATTTAGCAAATATCACATTGACTTCTGGTAAGAGAAATAATCCAGAATCTGTGGTTGCTAGAAACCTAGTATATGGAAAAAATAGAGGGGCAGTTGGCATCAAGACAGAAAGGTAGGGTTTTAAAGCTGATCTAGAGGTAGAAAAAAACACATTCTAGAGATTCCTGAAGAAACAAATTCCAAGTACTCATTGTCATGAAAAACGGTATGATGGAGTCCTACCCTCTGTCTGTATTGTTCTTTTTTAAATAGATCTTCCTGGTTAGGTCAGGAAGAAGCTATTCTTGAATGCCAGTTAATACATTCCTCCATTTACTCAACATTCTATCCCTACACCAAATTAGCTCAGTAGAAAGGCTATCTAGACTATCTACTACCTAGGTCATAATACATTAGCAACCTGTACAAATGTCTTTTCAGAGTTTCAGTTTATAGCATGCCGTGGTTTGTTATCCAGGGTGAATCTAGGAAACAATTAGATCTATAATCTCACAGCAAACTTCATTTGACTATATTTGCAAATGTTATCAACTATGTTATTTTTTTACCATCATATATATAACGATTGATATAAAAAGTTTTTCTTACAGTTAGGAAAAATTTGTCTCTCCTGACAAAGTGGTATTCTTCCTTTTGCAACTAATGGCAGTTATGTAACTTGCTTCTCTTAGATGGCCTTGGCCATCTAAGAAGCTCAGAGCAGAACTAACTTGTTTAGGTCGTCTAGAATGACTTCTTCCGATCCCTATTTTTCTCTGCTTAAACTTGTTGTTCAGTTCTGTTAGGACTTTTGTTTTGTTTTGTTTTTTACATATATGCCTTTTCTCATTAGTTGGTTAAAATACGCTTTTAAAGTGTATAAGATAAAAATAGTAGAGCCAGACACGGTGCCTTACGCCTGTAATCCCAGCACTTTGGGAGGCCAAGGTGGGCAGATCATCTGAGGTCAGGAGTTCGAGACCAGCCTGGCCAAGATGGTGAAACCCCATCTCTACTAAAAAATACAAAAATTAGCCAGGCGTGGTGGCACACGCCTGTAATCCCGGCTACTCAAGAGGCTGAGGCAGGAGAGTCGCTTGAACCCAGGAGGCAGAGGTTGCAGTGAGCCGAGACTGTGCCACTGCACTCCAGCCTGGGCAACAAGAGTGAAACTCCGTCCCAAAACAAAAAACAAAAAAAAAGAGTAAATAATTTTGAAATTTTAAGCTCCCTTTTACCAAAAAAGGGTTCTGACTTCTGGCCAGAATGTAGTAAATGTCAAGAAATCAGTCACAGCTGAGGTAGTGCCAGGAATTTGGTGTGGGGGACAGGAGGAGACAAGCAAAGACTATTTAAAAACAATGAATTTTAGCCTGTCTATAAGTACTCTTTTCTATGAAAACATAAAAGGAAATTTCCCTTACAAATGTTGATTGATAAACATGAACGTCTATATGGAAAATAATGCGATATCTGAGCTAAAAGGACTCTTAGTGAACTCTGATCCAATCTCCTTGATTTGAGGATAGGGAAAAGTGTAATCCCTAAAAGATTAAATGATATTTCCAAAGAAACAACAAGTTGGTAATTAAGTCCGGCCTGAAATCTGGGGCTTCTGCTTCCCAGGTTATGAGCTTTCTAACACTCCAAGAACTGTGAACCCTGGAGGGAAGGTTGTAATCTGACTTTAACTCCTGAGGACATGTGGATATGCCCTTCAGGGTCCAGGGACATTTGGGTTGCACATTAACAGTTAAAATATGCTAAAGCACCGCATTTTCTCCAACTCCATTCAATGCCTAAGGTTTATTGTTTGTTCAGTTTTAGCCAACTATATTTCCTGAGTGTTTCAAAAGGCAGCAAGGTGGCGAGGATACAAGGGAAAGCCGCTACACATTCAACATAGGAATACAAAGATTATAGTAGAATTCTACGCATCAAATTCCAATTCAAATTTCTTCTGGGGTCAGTGTCAGTATCTCCCACTTCCTCCTGACACATCCTGAGCTGAAGATCCCTTTTAAATTTTCTTTCTAAGAAAAAAAAAAATATAGGTTTATTGATCTCCTTTAAATGATAGCTTTAGAATAACATGTCAAATTATTTCTGTTTCTTGACTTATTCTAGGAAAAAAGACAAAGAAATAAGATATTCATATAAATGAAAAGTTTCACAGCCGGCAACCAACTAATTGGTATATATTTAAACACATTTAAGATATTACTTGATTACATTCAATAGGCATAATGTCCATATAAGAACAATGGTTTTGTTTGGAACATATAAAAGTGATAGTTCTGTAACATGTATTTATTTAACTTTTTATTTTGAGATAATTATAGATTCACTTGCAGTGGTAAGAAATAATATAGACAGATCTTTTGTATCCATCACCCAGTTTCTCCCAATGGTAAATCAAGATATTGACATTGATACAATCCACCTCAGATTTCACCATGTTAGATATAAGTTCTAAATTTCTCATCAAAGAATAAATATGCCAGTATGTTCAATTCTTTGCCTTCTACTTTTAAACTTAACTTCCTCGTAAAGTAACCTTTTTCGATTACCTACTCCACCCCGACTCATTCCAATTCCTACTCCACCCCAACTCATTCCGATCACCTACTCCACCCTGACTCATTCTGATTACCTGCTACCTGCTCTGCCCTGACTCATTCTCCACGCTGCATAACCATTTTTTTTCCCTCCAAAGCACTCACCCCCTCACTCTCTTTAAATTAGCCAATTGGAATTAGTTTCGCCTGCGTGGTCTAATCCTAGCCAACAGGGGAACGACACGGCAGCAGGGGCCATGTGCCTCAGGGATAAGAACACCTTCCCCTCCCTTGTCCAAGTGTGCGCTCACCATTGTTCCATCTGTAAGGGCGTACCCTTCTGTAGAAGTAACTTGCCTTGCTGAGAATTAAAAGAAAATTTTATATTCGATGCCGTTTCTTTTGCGGCACCGAAACTTTATATATAACAACCACTTTGACATTCATTTATATAAAGATCAATTTTTAATAGCTACAATCTATAGAGCACTTCTATATGCCAGACCAACTGCTCACTGATGAACAAACATTCTTCTAGTTCATTCCTACAAAAAACAATTTACCAGTGGAGGCAATAGTGAGGACTGTAGCTTAGAAGCTTTCATGCTACAATGTAGTATATGCTACAGTGTAGTACCCTATAGCTGTATGGGTGGTTCATTTTAAAAATTGTATATGCAGCCATTCCTCAATAGGCTCAAAATAAATATTGACAGAAATAGGTAAGTAAATCAAAAGAGAAAATCAAAGCCAGGAATCAAAAGAAGAGGCAAATTGGGTTAATATGATTCAATTTACGTCTGGGCTTCTTGGTAGACAGGACAAAAAGGTAAACAGAATGAGATATGCAATCCTTTTTGTCAAAAGGGGAAACTCATATTGATCCTTTAAGATATAGATGTTTAAAAATATGTCTATGTCTGTGCACATACCCTTATGCTAGCTCCAGCTCAGTTTTTTAAAATAATCTTTTCAGTCAGAGTTTATGAACATCCAAATAAAACTGTGTCAACACATGCTTAATACATCAGTAAAACTATTTTTAATAATGTACTCTCCTATTGAATATGGGTTGGTTTTCTGACTTGCTATGGCCCATTGAGTGCACAGATGTCACAGTGTTCTACTTCCAGGTAGTCCTTAACAAGGCTGGCAGCTTCTACTTTGAAACTTTCCAAAAAATTAGCTTCCATGATGTAAAAAAAAAAAAAAAAAAAAAAAAAAAGGCCAATCCAGAATACTACATGATAAACACTTGTGAAGAGACTGAGGTCATGTGCACAGCACCAATGCACAGATACGAGTGAATCCGTTGATCTTCCAGGGCAGCATAGCCGAAAGCTGAATGCAGCCTAGTGATTGACCCAGCCTACACCAAATGGAGCGGAACAACTACCCAGCCAAGCCACGCCCCAATTCCTGACCTACAGAACCTTGAAAAATAATGAATCACTGTTGGTTTAAGCAACAGAAGTTTTGAGGTAGTCTATTACACAGCAATCAATAACTGAAACAATAACCCAAACTGATAACCTGAAAATTCATTTTGTAAACCTGCATCTAAACTTGGTACAATAATTAAACATTTTCTGTGCAAGTAGTCCCTCTTATATGACTAGAATGTGTGGAATGCCTAGGAGCAGCTTTTCCAAATGAATTCATCAATAAACATAAAACATAAAATGAACTGCTCTAGTTTTCCCAGAGATTCTGCCTAGAACAGACTGCCCTAGGACAGATGATTAAGTTAGTTTGGGTCCAATTCATGACTACATAACATGGAGTTAGTTATGTCTTAGGCTACGTCCCTTCAGGCAACTTGGAGCCTCCCAGGGTTAAAGAAGCTCTGCCAAAACTCAAAATCAATAGGGCCATTTAAATGATGACATCCCCAGTGGGTAAAGATATTTGACTCCACACATCAATGGCATGAGCTACTGTCATGGGCATTCGTCAATAGGTTGAAGATCTCATTAAAGCTTTTTAATTTCTGCTTAGTGGTATTAGGATTTAATTGATGCCAAAGACACTGCCTGTCACTATACAGTGATGTTGTGGCAGTCAGTAGAGAATGTCTTACACACAGTCCTAGAAGACCTTCCTAGAAAGGCCAGGGCAGTTCTACTGGCTGCATTTCCTGGCTTGACAGGCTACTGCTACTTTATAGTAGCTCTCTCTATGTTGTTCTACCTTCCCATCATCCGTGCACCCATCTTCTTTTACCAGCAACCCAATTTTCTGAAAAACTACTCCATCTTTATTCTTAGTCCATGTTGCTCAGAAGGGTTTGATTCTACCCACAGCTTCAGGCATGGGCACACCACCCAGATCAGGTTGATCACCCTGGACATATAACTCAAGACAGTGTCAATGAGATCAAAACTTTGAACTCTCACCAATACTATTGGAAATGAGAAACTCTATTGTTTCCCACTGGGTTGCTAAACTGGTAGAATGGAATGGGTATATATAACTGACAGCCTTTTTGCCATTCCAGGGAGATAAACCCTAAGAACAAACAATGCATAGATCACTTGATCTTCTGGATCCAGCAGTTCTAGAAGTCATACGTGTCTATATTTTTTCAGTATATAAGCCAATAAAATATCATTTTCATCTAGGCTGTTTTGAGTTGTATTTGCTATCTCTTGCAATCATTCTCAGAAACTGCCAAAAGATGGGCTGCTGCACAACTATGGGATGATGGAATGCCATTTATTTTCTGGGACAGTGCAATTTATTACAATTTATTACACTCCCTTTCTGAGCCATAGATCAGAAAGTACCCGGGCGTTAAGACAACAGCACTTCAAAAAACAATATCATACTTGATCTTCATAAAGTTAAGTGAGCAAACAAGGAAACTAAGACATTAATGAGACATGTGGTTCAAAAGTCATCCATCAAATCAAATATGGCACCAAGACTGGAAACCAAGTCTTCATGAAATGCGAGGTTTCTGTTGCTTGAATCAATGGACCTTAAAGGTGATTTGGTCTTATGGCTCCCCAATGTCAGTCCATGGATTGGGATCTGTTGCCAGAGTATGTTCAAATCATCAATAGTCCACAGAGTAATGAGAAAAATAAAGAAACTTTGATAGGTTTTAATGGAGCAATTTCATTTCACTTTTAAAGCCTGAAATTTCATCCTTCCAGGTTTGTTTGGTTTTTTCTTTTGGTGTTAACATATCCTCTTTTTGAAATAATAGCAATAGTAGATGTAAATCATCTTTTTTGGCTAAATATAAAGTAAGCAAGCCCATAGCCTCCCCTGGAAGGCACTGCCATTGTTTCCAATACTCTCAGCTTTAACACTGACAGCTACCCTTGCTCTCTTTCTCACTGACACCCACCAACTCAACCAGCCCTCTCCCACCACACACCCTTTCTCAGGTCACCTCTGTGCTCTCCACCCTTGGAGCTTTACCTCTGGGTAATTCCCTTGTCTTTTGTAATGTATATTAGAGTGTATATTAGAGTGTAATGTATATTAGACGTCTATAACTCCTGCTATTACTCTGCTCAGCACCTTCTTAGGACAGAAGCAGCTATCCTTTCTCCTGAGAAGGTGGGAAAAAGGCAAATTATGCATACTTATAAATAAATATTTGTTGGTCTCAAACAAGTAAATTTATAAACATTGATACTAACATTACTGGAAGCATAAAAGCATTAGAAAGACATTAAATGCCCTACAGTAGAGTGAAAATTAAATTCTGCCATCTAGGAGAATAGTATTTAGTCATTAAAGTTATGATTATAAATACTTTGTAATAATATGCGTAAATGCATATGATATAAGGTTAAGTGAAAAGATACATAACTACAAAATACAACTATGTTAAAATATCCATGCATGGATTAAAAAAATACAGCTTTAACTGCATAGTGGAGTTACCGGTAATGTCTACTTTTATATTTATAGAAATCTCTGTTGTCCAGATTTTCTGCAATGGGTACATATGACTTTTGATGGGGTTCAGAACATGCTACCACAAAACATGGCACCTTGGCATTTTGAATATTTTAAGCTGAAGGAGTCTGAGAAACAGCATGTGCTGGAAGGACTCTCTGAAGCAGGTCAGAAGCCCCTTGTGTGAGAGGTCCCTCCCTAAACCCAGAGAAAAGGAGCATCCTTATCTCTGAAGATGGAGGGACACACGGAGAAGAAACTCCAGGAACCAGCCTTGGTAAGTTTCCCCTAGTTTACTACACTTAGTTCATATGCTTTTCCACAAGTTTCCACTCTTCATCAAACCTAGTATAAAAGCACTCAGGTTTAACTGATTCATCAGATTTTCCTTCCTTATGAATGCTCTAGTGACACATAAAACTTGTATTAAATACATTTGTATGCTTTTCTCTTATTAATCTGTCTTTTGTTATAGAGCCCTAGCCAAGAAACTAAAATGGTTAAAGGGAAGATTTTTCCTACACTTTAAAGTGTACAAATATATATTTATTAAAGTTAGTTCCAATTATTATGTAGCCAATATTTACTGATTACTCTACTCTGTAGATGCCAAGAAAGCCATACTCTTTCCTGATAGTTTCCTTTGTGTGACAAGATTTGCCACAGATGTAGGCAATGTTGGTATTATACTTTTCTTGACAGCTAGAATAACTTCTGCTAAGCTAGGCAACCACATCTCTCCAAGCCATCCTTAATGCCTAATGACTGCCACTGCACCTGACCTAGCTCCAGGGCTGACCCTTTCATGTTTACCCCAAGGCCATGCCCATCTGGGAAACCACCTGGGCAGGTACCTTCCAACCAAATTAAAGTCAAGGATTCCATCCACTATCACTAAACTAGCACAAACCAAGAGAGAGAAATCAAGGCACCACATAGGGGTTAGGACAAGTAATCAAAGTCAGGTAGAAATCCCAGAAGGGTGGTATACAATTTATATTTCCCTAGTGAGGCCCATTCTAGAATAATGGGAAAGGTTCACTGTTGTCAGAATGCCAAGAATGAATTCTCTGAATCTGGCCTTCCCTGAAATCAACACTTAGGTTCTGACAACCTCTAAATTCATCCTCACTAACTACATCAAACATTTAGCATGCTTTTTATTGTGGGGATGGGGGTTGCTTTTGTTTGATTTGGTTTATCTGGCATCTGAAACAAAAGATGGGAAAGGATGACATTCATTCTTAACCTCGTGTATAGTTAACCACATCAAAAAAGGCTATTGTTAGATACAAATAAACGTTAACATACATTAGTTCCAAAAGGCTAAAGCCTTTCAGGTGAACATTATTGGACACTTTCTCCCCTGTGCCAGACAAAACTATGCATGGCTTATTCCCAGAGTCACCCCGTCCTTTCCAAGGCATTCTATGCTGCCTCAGGGATGCAAACAATTATGGTACTTCCAGGAGAGAAGGAGCACATAAATTCTGTCACCCCTTGACCCCAGGATCCAATTTCACAGCAATGGGTGAAAGGATTTTTTAGTCAAGAGATGATGTGAGACGCACAGATACCCCTTGGAGTCATTTGGGTGACAGCATTAAAGAGAATGAAATGAGCTATCTTGAAATGGAGGCCAAGTGCAGTCACTGCATCTGGAAAGTTAGGCTCCTTGATATTCAAAGCTCTGGGGCTCGGCAAAAAATTCAAAGAGCTTTTAGTATTCAAAACAAAACAAAAAAAAACAAACAAAAAAACAAAAAACACTCTTTAAAAAATTAAAATATTCAAAACTGTGGAAAACTTGCAAGAATCATATCATGAACATCCCATACTGTCTTCCCAAGATTCATCCATTTGCTATTATTTTGCCATATTTGCTTTATCTCTTCCTCCTCCTCTGCTCCCCTTCCCTCAAACAAACAAATGAAAAGTGGTTTTTGCTAAACCATTTCGGTGTAGGTGTGAACATTAAAAGCTTCTAGGAATTACAGTAGTCTCTCACACATACAATGATCAAAATCAGGGACTTTAACGTTGATAGAATACTATCTTACACGTAGTCCATATTTACTTTTCTTCAATCCCGAGTGTCCTGTATGGCCACTTTCCTCCAGTCTAGGATCGCACTGGCTTTTAGCTGTCATGTCTCTTTAGCCTCCTTGAAGCTGGAATACTTTCTCAGCCTTCCTTTGCCCATCATGTCATTAACATTCTTGAAGAGGACAGGCCTGTGGCTTTTCAGAGAATCTATGCTGGTCTGACTGTTATATGAGGATTAGATTCATAGTACATGTTTTTGAAAGGCATACTACCTAAGTGATAGCATATCCTTCTCATTGCATTACATCAGTTGGCACCTGATGAAACTTGGTCCCATTCTTGATGTGTTAACCTTGATTCCTTAAATAAGGTGTTTTCTGCCAGATTACCTCACTGTATGTGTGTGTATGTGCAGGTATTCCTCTTTTTCCCTTTTATAATTAATAATGTATGGGAAGACTTTTTTCTGACTGTGTAAACACCCTGCTAATCAACAAGCTTTCACTCAATGGTTTAACACCTATTGACAATTCTACTCTGAATCAATTATTACTATAATAGTTGTAAAAAAGTGATTTTTCTAACTCTATTATTTCTTTCACAGCAATTAGTTGGTTTTCTAGTGCAAGAAACAGCTGCCCTTTCTCCCTTCTTTCCTTCCTTTCCCTCCTTCCTTCCTTCCTTTCTTTCTTTCTTTCTTTCTTTCTTTCTTTCTTTCTTTCTTTCTTTCTTTCTTTCTTTCTTTCTTTCTTCTTTCTTTTGGTTATATCTTACTCATTTGATTCTTAAGTGTCCCATTTCAAGCTGGTTCCTGTGTCATTCAGACAGGTCCTCATTTTTTTTTTAATCAGTTTTTATTTTCTGGCACAACAAAATGTTCCAGGCTTTTCTTGTCCTTTCCCTGCTCTGAAACTGCAATTAGTCATTGCTCTAAGCAGGGGTCCCCATCCCCAACCTCCAGGCTGCAGACTGGTACCAGTCTGTGGCCTGTTAGGAACTGGCTGCACACTAGGAGGTGAGCAGCGGGCAGGGGAACCTAACTGCCTGATCTCCGCCTCCTGTCAGGTCAGCTGCATTAGATTCTCATGGCAACATTAACCCTATTGTGAACTGCGCATACTCATTATGAGAATCTAACTAATGCCTGATGATTTTAGATGGAACAGTTTCATCCTGAAACTATCCCCGCTCCCCTGCCACCGATGGAAAAATTGTCTTCTATGAAACCGGTCCCTGGTGCCAAAAAGGTTGGGGACCACTGTTCTAAGGGCCCTTATTTTTAGTGGGGAATGCTATTTAGAAAGCAAGAGCTGGGCACTCAGTGTGTTCACTGCTGCTAGGAGTGTTATTGCTTGCAGGCCCTTTAAGAGGACAAGTAAGAATTATAAATATATATTGAGTCATGTCTTCCTATTGATACTTCTAATCTCCATCCAATAGCTCAGGCTCTTCCTTGCCTTTCCCCAATCCACAGTTGTACTGCCCTCCTTCCACAGTGATAAGCCTGACTCCCCACAAAATAATACATTTACTTAATCCTACAATGGATACAAAGTAATTTCAGAATTGTCCCACAAATAACACAACCAAGAACAAATGTATAAAGTTCAAGATTTCTTTCCAGTACTTCTGTTGTTTGATTGAAGGCCATGCCCATCTGGGAAACCACCTGGGCAGGTACCTTCCAACCAAATTGAAGTCAAGGTACTGCATTCAAAATAACTTGAATCAGTATTTTTTTCCTATGTGTAATCATGTCATCCATTTGATATATAGTTAGGTTCATTTACTCTGTACTCAATTTCCCCCATCTTGTTATTTAATGTTATTTCGGAATATACAAACCATGAACATGGTTTCAAACTCAAAACTATATAAAAAGGTATTCAGAGAAGTACTACATCACTGTCTTCCTTCCCTAACTCTTCTAATGCTATTCCCACCCTGTAGATGACCAATTTCATATCTTCTAGTTTATCCTTCCTGTGTATCCTTTTGCAAAAATAATCAGACACATAGATAAAGACATTTTTATTTCCCCTTCTTTCTACCTGAAATGCAGCATGCTATATATAGTCTTCCACATTTTGCTTTTTGCACTACCAATATCTTCTGGTGATCACTCCAATCCCGATTCACAGGGATCTTCCTCATCCTATTTTACAGCACACTACTGCATTAATGTATTATGGCTCATTCAAACAATCTCCTCATTACAACATAACCACGATGATGCTGCACATATTATTATGAGAGAAGTTGAACATATTTTCATATACTTAAGGACCCTTTTTTATCAATTTTTGTGAACTTTCTAGGTCTTTGCTGCTTTTCTATCGGATTTATGGTCTCTTTAGTCTCCTCAACGTGTAGTAACTTTCTATATATTAGCAATATTAGCATTTTATCAGAAATACATCTTGCAACTATTTCCTCCTGGTTTATTACGTGTGGTTTATGGTTTTTTGCCATGCCAAAGAGGATTTTGTTTAATTTCTAACTTTACACAATCAGATTTTACTACATCTGAAGTTTGAATTGTGAAAAACCTTTCCTTGTGCTTTTCCTTTTTGTTATAAAGCAATTTCTTATACTGGCTAATTTTTAAGTATCCCTCATTACACTATACATGGGAATGTATGTAAGAAGAAAATCCTATTTGCCTACTGACCGCTGGGCAACTTCAAAACTGCATGACCTTTATTTCTGCAGGCCCTTCATTTCCTAGCTGCATCCCTTTCATTTTCCCTAACCCCAGGTTTCCTCAGCAGGCCAGCTTCACTAGAGAGCTGTAAACTAAACCTAAATTACTAAAGAACACATTACTCACTCATCATAACCATAGGAATCTTTCTCTAGAGCAAATAAGAATTAGTAGTACAAATCTGTTTTATAATCACATACTTTCACAAAGCAAGAATCACCAATAGTATACTTTATTGTCTCTCATTGATGGGTACATTTTCTCTTATTATTTTTATTATCAAATAATCCATGTTTATTTTAGGATAAAATTAAAACTACAGCTAGGCAAAAACAAATCAAGATGTTGGAACTGTTAATATTTTAGGGCATATATGTAAACACACACCTATTTAAAAACTCTCTTCTTTTTATACCTATTAAAAAAACCCTCTGTTCTCTACTATACTTGCTATTTTGTAATCTGTTTCCATTTTCATTTAATATAAACATCTTTCCATGTTACTAAGTTGTCTGCAAAGGCATTTTAAAAGGCTACATGGTATTATACTGTATAAAGACATAAAATATTGAACCAAATATTGTGCTCTTAGGATTTAAAAAAAATATCGTAAACAACTCTGAGAAAATTTACTCAGACACACACCTTCATGAATTTGTTCAAATGCTTCTTTAAGATAAATACCTAAATGTGGAATTGCAGGATTAAATAGTACACAAGATTTTCAGGGTTTTGATATACGTGGTCAAGTTGCCACCAGCAGTGTATGGTGGGTTCCCTTTACCCACACTGAACCCACATTAGTGTTATCTTTCTCTGTAATCCTTTTTATCTCCTGATTTAGCAAGACTAAACAACAGTGTAAAGTTCTGCAAAAGCACCAGATAAGCAAATTTAGAACAAAACATTACTGATGTCTGCCCAAAACTCTGTAAACCTGTTCCTAGGCTCTAAGCTGTCTATTGAAATGTCCTAAGAAACCATTTCACTCAGAGAAGAACATTTTTTTCACTCTTCCTGCACAGCTCAGTCTTTACGATGTTAAAATCCTGTACAACTTCCTAACAGCCCTTCACATTCTTCAGGAGCCCGAGTTTGGTTCTGGTTATAAATGCATAGGATAGATCCCATACGGGAAGCATAGACCTAAGAAATTTATGGAAAGGAATTTATGGGAAAGCTTCTCTCATCAGGGCTGTACCAATTAAAAATCCATAAATAATTCTCCCTTGTCAGTTTCTGTATAAACACATTGGCCTTAGAAATTTTTACTTCAGGTTCTAGTCTAATGGCCTACACTTCTAAATTATGCTTTTAATTGAAAAACAATAACATGCATTTTTTTTCCAGAACCATCTGTGCTTTCCCAAGAACATGTAACTACTACAGATAAATCCGCTACTTTGAACACCCTAATTATCCAGTTTAGGGTTCCAAAAGCTTAGGAAAATAATGCCATTCCTGAAAAACAGTACGTGATCAGAAACACTTGCTTTAAAATTCGATATTTGGTGTGTGAAGCTTCTTAACAAGTGTTTATTAAACTGCATAATTTCAAAGCCTGGAGTGGTATATTGCAATGTTTTCCTCGGAGTTGATCACATTTGCATATCTTTTTACACTTCCTGTGAAATTAATATTGCCTTTTGTATCTCGAACTTAGCTAATATAACTTGCCATTTTTACTTTTCACTGCTATGAGTAATATAAAGTGAACCCCCAAAGGGACCCCTGCAACGCCTACATAAGCTTTATTCTCTCACTGTTGTATTTTTTCATATGAATATATTAAATCAAGATTAATAAACCTTTGCAGAATCCACTGGTCCTGCAAAAAGGCAAGATTCATAACGGTAAAGGCTGCTCAGCAAATAAAGGAAACCTGCTCCTAAAACTGGAGCCAAAGGCCGGGGTTCATGGAGCTCTTGTCACATCCAACAGTGTGCCAGAGACTCTTCACCTCACAAGAAGTCTTTCAACAGTCACTCAATAATATGTGCAAAAGTGGCTTAACCACCAGGATACCAAAACCCAGCCGGTGATTATCAGGCTGCCTTGGCTCAGGGATACATCTTTGTGAGATGCCAAAAACTGACCATAATCCCAGGATTTTAAAAATTTCAGCTGGGCTTATGGGGATGGAATGTGATAATAAAGAAACAGGATGGTAGGGGCTGAGGAAAAGTGGAACATGATGAGAGGCTCCTAAAAGCAAATCAAACACAGAAAAGGGAAATCTCTCTGAACACTGCATACCGCACTGGGCACAGGAGTCCTCAGTTGAGCATCCCCCACTCATTGGGCCCCAGCAGCTACTTTGCCTAGCTAAGAATCTGCTCAAAGCTCAGGGAAACCTAAATGGCAATACAAAGAAAGAGTTGGGGGCAGCTTCAAGATAGCAGGCTACTGGTACAAATACTTTGTGAGGTCAGAAAGGCTCACTATCATGACTTGTACTGCTGTCATTGATTCTCCTACTTCAAGATCATCTCCAACTTGGTCAAGAGGCAGAGTAATGGGGATTCAGGGCCACAGTTAGGGTGCAGCAAATGAGGTACAAAATTTAAGTAGAACTAAAAACAACCTCAGTAGCCAGGTGTGGTGGCCATGCCTGAAGTCCTAGCTACATGGGAGGCTGAGATAGGAGGATCACTTGAGCCTAGGAGTTTGAGGCTATAGTGCACTATGATTATACCTGTGAATAGTCACTGTACTCCAGTCTGAGCTACATAGTGAGATGCCCATTTCAAAAGAAAAGAAAAAAAAAAGAAAAATCCTCAGTAATCAAGATAATAATACTTCAGTGCAATCTTTTTAGAAACCAAAAAAATCATGGTGAAGAAAACACAATTTTAAATAAATATTAATGCCCTGCCAACCATATTTGAGCCTGCATGGACACTTCTACCTACATTTTTAATATATTTTAAAAATTAATTTTTTTGGAGAACCTTAAAGTCATTGAAGAAATACTGAAAAATTGGAAAGTAGGTATATTAAAACTTACAATATTAAATGTAAATATTTTATTTATACTAAAATCAGAATTCATTATAATTTCACTTTCCTGACTCTAATGGGACAAAGTAATTTTATTTTTATGTTTTGAGATAGAGTCTCTCTCTGTCGCCCAGGCTGGAGTGCAGTCGTGCGATCTCAGCTCACCACAACCTCCACCTCCTGGGTTCAAGTGATTCCCTTGCCTCAGCCTTCCAAGTAGCTGGGACTACAGGTGCATGCCACCACGCTCGGCTAATATTTGTATTTTTAGTAGAGACGAAGTTTCACTGTGTTGGCCAGGCTAGGGGACAAAGTAATTTAAACATGTTTTCAAAACTTACTTCTTTGTTTGTCTTCTTTTCAATGGAAGAATTACCATGTTTGACATTCTCTTATCACCTAGTGACAATCATAAATGATTTTTAATTAAACAATTTACTTTCTTTAAATTAATTTTATTTTGTTTTTCCTTAGCTTTAGGCTCCAAAATGGCTTGGCACTGTACTAATCCTTATTTAAAACTTCAATGTTTTGTTCATCATGGATTTTTCTGGCATTTATTTGATTTTTGAAAAAAATGGAATTAAACTATTTGTCTTGATCACTAAGTATGTTGACATTCTCTTAAACTGTGCATTACCTTGTTCCATCCAAATCAAAGTCAAGGATGTAGCCATCTCAGACAAATAACATAACAATGACTTTAAGTGTGGAAAGAAGCCTAAGATCTTTTATTAAGTGAAAGAAGTATGTGGCAGAATAATATGTATAGTATGGGCTCACTTGCACTTAAGAAAGGCCAGAAAAACATTTTAAAGAATAACTCTAAGTCATTACACATCAAATAAACATTGACGGCAAAAGGTAAAAAGTGTAGTTACTGAAGCAAGAGTTTCTAAATCATGGTGCTGCAAAATAATACACTGGGTGTCCAAGTAGCAGTAACAACTAAGTATTACCCTCTGCTAACATCTGATATCTTTGAAAGATTGTCTCTACAATAATGTCATTCTCATTCACTTGTAGCTAGGTACTTTTTTTTTCTAGAGAAAGAGATGGGATTTCAGCATGTGTACTAGGATGACAAGCAAACACTGTAGGTTCAAGGAAGTTCATGGGCATCTCAACAATATGTGTGGTGGTGAAAAATACACTGAGAACCACTCATCTAGCTGCTACTGATCCTATTCCATAAGCTAGGAATACGTCATAAGTACTGTTTTGTCCTCGCGTTGGGGATTTTTGTTTTGTTTTGTTTTTTTGTACCTCCTCAGTATCCTCCTCTGTTAAGTAATAGCATTTTTGTTTGCTTTTTAGCCAGGTTTATGGAGGTATAATTTAAAAATAGTAAAATTTACACTTTTAGTATATATTTATATGAATTCTGACAAATGCATATAGTTATATAACAAACACCACAATCAAGATACAGAACATTTCTATCATCCCAAAAAGTTCCCATGTACTTTGCCATAGTCAATCTTTACCCTAATTCTCCAGCCTCTGGCAACTGCTGATTTGTTTTCCCTATAATTTTGCCTGTTCAAAAACATCATATAAATGCAATCATAAACCATTTATGTCTGACTTCTTAGTGTAAAGCATTTGAGATTCATCCATTTGATGCATATCTCAGTAATTTATGCCTTTTTATTGCTGAATGGCATCCTATTTTATGGATATACCACAGTTTATTTATCCATGGTAATAGGATTTGGATTATGATTTCACAAATCACCCATACTTCCTTTCAGGTCATGTGGTTTATAAAGGGCTGACCCGAAAGTTCCAGAGATGCCCATAGCCAGGCCTGATCAAATAACATATTCAGTCATCCTGATAATATGGATGGTTTAGAGCTGGGCACATGGTTTGATGTAACAATTTTCGATTCAAGACAACTGACAGAACTATTGGTAAGAAGTTACTGATGGTATAATGGAAACTGTTTCTGGTAGCTATTGCACCACCACAAGGGAGCCCCAACTTGAGGATAATAAAGCCAACAGGAAGCAAAGTGCAACTAAGTGGATGAGATACCTTCCTAACCTAGTTTGAGCACCTGGATCCAGACATGCCTAAAGATCTACCTGTAGACCTGTCAGTTACATGAACCTATAAAATTCCTTCTAGCCTAGGCCAATTTTGATTATATCCCTCATTCCTGAAACTAAAATCTCTTGACTCTACAGCATAGAAAGAAATCTTTCATCAAGGAGGTTACAAGAGAGTCTTGGAAACAAGACACAAAAAATGGTTTTGACATCAGACACCCCAACTTTACCACTTACTACTTCCTAAGTATACAATGTCAAGAATTCTCTTTACTCCTATAAACCTGTATTTCCTCATTTCCAAAATGCAGAGAATAATTCCTTACCCATTCTAAAATATTATCTTGAGAATCAAAAAAACTAAGTTGGTTCAAATACAAAAGAAAAATAAAATGTATGATTATTATACACACAAAATAATTTGTATATGAAAAGGAGATATTAAGTGATGACGGTGAGAGAGAATCAAGAGGCATTATAAGGATCAATGCAGAACTCCAGTGCTTATATAAGGATCAATGAACAATAATTGTAACTAGAGGTATTTCTTGAGTATATTCTTGTGTTAGGCATTGTGTCAGGTATTTTACCTACATTATATCATTTAACATTCTAAATATCACTAAAGTAACTTTTTAAACCCATTTTTGATTAGGCTTAGAGAACATAAAATACTTTTTAAGTTAAAGTACTAACTGGCAGAGGCCAAATAAAGACCTAAATCTGGACCACTGAAACTAGTGCACACTTCTAAGTTAGATGGAAGGCATGAAGCAAACACTTTGGAAATTAAAATTCAGTTATAAAAACCATCACAACACAATTAATTTAGCAACTACATTCCTTTATACATAATTGTGCCGAGTGCATCTAACTCATTAAGATGTAGAATGTTTATGCTGTCATATAATATTATCACATGGTAATAAATGAAGTTGCACTATATCTCTAAACATCTGGATTTCAGAGCCAATTTTACACATTTAATTCAGCTATTTGGTGTCTTAAACACATAGCAAAAATACACAAGGAAAAAATGATTGTACATCTGGCATCAAGATGGCTCCAAGAATTGGACTGCCAATGAGGAAGTCAGGTTTTTCTAGCCTATATCCTCTGGAGGATAAATACCCAAAATAGTACTGTTTCCAAAGTAACCAAAATCAAGAAAGGAGACTCCACAAAGGAAACAAGAATGAAAAAGACAGGCCTAGCCCTTTTCAAAAGCTGAGCCTTCCCTCCCAGGATCCAAGGTACTTAGGGTTTCTCATACCTGACAACCTATAAACGAGAAAGAGTATCACTTGTTTGTCCTTCCATTTCTCATTTTCCAGCTTTGGTGCTTATCAGGTTCTCCAGAGGTAGCAAATTTGTAAGACATTTCATCTATTTAGATTTTCATTTATTCATCCATCCTTTCAGTTACTCAGTGATGACTTCTATCTGCTGAGCCCTGCACTAATGATCCAAAATTCCCAATCTTCCTGCCTAGGAGAGATAGGGAGAGGTAGGGAATATGGCTTCTCCATTTTCTCCTTTTCCTTTAGTAACCAACCTCTACTGGAATTAATCCTTTGAGTTCAGCTGGGCCTTGAGATCCAACATGATTTGTTTTAAAAATCAAGGCAACTATTAATGTAAAAACAAAACAATACAAGTATTAGGAGAAAACATGAGAGAATTTCTGTACAACTAGATGTGGGGAAAGCCTTTCTAACTATAACTCAAATCCAAATGCAAAAAAAAAAAGAAAAAAAAAAGATTGAGAATTTCAATTACCTGAAATTTTTTAAAATTTGCATAGCAAAAAATACCATAAGCAAAAATAAAAAATTAAGTGCATGATAGGAGAAAATATTTATAAAATATATCACAGATTAAGCTCCAATCACCCTAATATATATTTTAAAATTCTTGGCCAGGCGCAGTGGCTCACGCCTGTACTTCCTAGCACTTTGGGAGGCTGAGGTGGGTGGATCACAAGGTCAGGAGTTCAAGACCAGCCTGGCCAAGATGGTGAAACCCCATCTCTACTAAAAATACAAAAATCAGCCAGGCACGGTGGCAGGCGCCTGTAATCCCAGCTACTCAGGAGGCTGAGGCAGAGAATTGCTTGAACCCGGGAGGCGGAGGTTGCAGTGAGCTGAGATCACACCACTGCACTCCAGCCTGAGCAACAGAACGAGACTTGGTCTAAAAAAAAAAAAAAAAAAATTCTTAAAACCCATTTTTAGAATAAGAAAAATAGAAAAACAAGTAGTTCACAGATGATATAGGAATTGCCCTTAAACATATGAAAATATGCTTAATTTTACTTATAATAAGAGAAAAGCAAATTAAAACTACACTAAGAATTATAACCATATTACTCTAACATAAGAGGTTATCAATAGGAGAACCTGGGTGTGGTGTACACAGGAACCCTTTACTATCTTCACAGCTTTTCTGCAAACCGAAAACTCTTCTTAACAAAAAAGTTGATCCAAAAAAAGTACATTGAGATACTATTTCTTGCCTATGAGATTGTCAAAAGTTGAAAAACTTGACAATATACTCTATTAGCAAACAGAGTGTAGAGCAACAGTTCCTCTCAGGCATTGCTAGTTAGAGTGCAAAAGGGTATAACCTGTGTAAAGGGAAATTTGGCATTAGTTAACAAACTATGTGTCTATTTCCTTTTCTATCTTTCTACATACCTATCTATATATTTACTTACCAGCAATGTCAGTTACAGCATTCACCCTGAACATACACCTTCAACTGTATGAAAAAACGTGGACATAAAATTATTCACTGTAGTGTTATTTCCAGTAAAAAATACTGGAAAGAATCTAAATGCCATCCATAGATACAATCAATAGTAGTCCTTTGTGTGAACAACCAATATACACATAGAACTACTATTCAACTGTAATAAGGAATGAGGAGGATCTTTATAAAATTATATGAAATAATTGCCAGGATAAAAAAGCAAGGTGAAAGAGTATACATAGCATGCTAACTTCTGTATAAAAAGGAAGCGTATGTATATTTGCTTCTTTTTATAATGAAGACATGAAGGATAAACCAGAAACTAATGAAAATATTTTCAAAGAGCGTGAGTAAAAATGGAGCTGGAAGGGTAGGGATGGAGTGGGACTTTCTTGAACAATTTTTTTTTCTAGTTTTGACTTGAACCAGGTAAGTTTTGACTTGAACCAGGTAAGTTTTGACTTGAACCATGTAAAGTTTTACATATTCGAAATAAAAAATTTAAAAAGGATTTATAAAGCAAAACCTAAACTTGCATACAGGCAGGACATAAATGGATCTAATGATATATCACATCAACGTAAATAATCACAGAGGAAAAAAATAAATTCAAATAATTTCTGAAGACAGTATTCTGAATGTATATCCTTAGTGGAATATTAGGAAAAAAAGAAGTCCAAATAAATCTTGAACTTTACTTAATAGATTGATTGTCAGGAGGGGTATTGATATAGTAATTCTGAAACTATTTTCCGTGTACTATAGGATAGAGCAAATGAATCGATACATTAGGATCTCACTGTGGAATAAAGGAGATACAAATATGAAATGAGGGAAAGTGCGGAAGAATCCTGTGATGTTGAATTTGAATGGTTGAGTTGTACATGGTAACATACATGCATCTACCTATCTGTCTACTTATCTACCTATCTAATCTATCTAATCTACCTATCGCCTAGCGGCAATGGCACCCCAGTAGCAATGAACCCACCTAGCGGCCAAAACTTTCTTTCTAAATTCCATTCTCCAGTAAAGGGAGACAGGGCTTGACTGATTCTTGATTGGGGTAGGGAAAATGTAAGGTAAGGTTGATACATCTTTTTTTACTCCAGGACATACTCAAAGACTGATGGAGATATGTCAAAACGACATAGGAACTAGCATCAGGGGATCCCACTGGCTAAATGACAGACAATTTGAGCCTCACAAAAGAATAAGGAGCTAAGTATAGTTATATCATTTTGTGGAACTTCATTGAGCTGTGTGCTTATAATTTGTGTATTTTTTTGTAGGTATGCTGTATTTCAATATGAAATGTAGTGTCTTTTTTTAAGAAAGCTGTGATACAAGCAGCAAATAAGACATATAATTTACTTTAGCAGAAAGGAAGACCGTGCTCTATGAATAAATTGTTCTGATTACACTGATGGTCATCCATCCTACTATGGAAACAGAGGTGGAGACCTCTTTTGGTAAGAAACAACGTCAGCCCAGAAATGTATAATAATACAAAGAGAAAAACATCATTAGGCACAAATCATCGATGGACAATAGAACCCATGAGTGAAAGGTTCTTGGGACACAAAATAGTTACCCAGTCTCAAAGTATCACCCCACAGATACTAATTTCAAGGCAAAACAAAACACAAAACAAAAAAAAACCTTAAAAATGGAGTGACCTGAAGAATATCCAAGATGAAACAGCATCACCAAAACTGGCACAAACAAATTATATGACTCTGCTGTGATCCACTGTGAAGCAGGCAACATTACCTAGATAGTACTTTGGCCTACAATGAGGAACAATTGGACAGATCCACATTGTGTGGTATTCCACAATCACTGGGTCGGAATCTTCAAAAATACAGACTCATGAAAGAGAAATAAAAGGCAGGAGAATATTCTAGATTAAGAGGGTCCAAAGAGACAAAATAACTAAGTGAAATGTGTAATCCTTGATTGTATTCTAAAAAGAAAATGGAAATAAGGAAAAAGAGACATTACAAGGTATGAGGGACATTAATGGAAACATTTGAATATATTAGATTACATATCAATGTTAAATTTCATGTGGAGAGTGATAACAGTATTATGATTACATATTCATCTTAGGAGGTATAAGGTGAAATGTCAGGGGGTAATATGATATCTATGACTGAAATGCAAATGATTTTTTAAAGTATAATAAATGAGAGAAAAAAAGCCAATGAACAATTACAACAAAATGTTAATAACTGGATCCTCAAGGGGGAAGAGTAATTGGGATAGACTGTACAAAAATTAATCAAAGATAACTAGCATATTTTGAATGCTCACTGTTGTCAGGCCCTATTTAGAGAGGTTTGCAATACTAACTCATTTAATCCTTGCAATAACTCTATGTGATTGATACCACATATATCCATTTTACAGACAAAATGGAAACCTATAGAAGTAAAATAACTTGCCCAGGCTAGTAAGTGGAGTAGCTGGAATTTGAAGTTAATAAATTTAGAGTCAAAGTTTATTATCATATCCACAATACTACTCTGCCCTTCAAATAAATAAGTCTGTTTAGAGGAGCAAACACATTAATCACACCAATCTTATGATTACATGCAACTGATATCTCCTGTGTGCCTAATGCAGAATTCTGGAGGGTTCAATTGGTTCCAATTAGTTCTTTTTCCTGTACCAGAAAAGAAGATCAGCAATAACTGGAATTCTGGGGTGGCATGGAGTGGGGGTGTTAAATTTTACAAACACAGCATCCAAAAATAGTATGTTCAGTCATGAGTATTATCTTTAAAATAGAGAATATAAAGAAAGTCTGAAGATCAACATTTAAATCAAAGAAAAAAGAACAAAAGTACAGGTGCTTTGAGGTTTAGACTATGCTGAAAATGCCATTATAGAGCAGTCCATTTCCTCAGTAGGTAGCCCCAAAAGACCCCTGACACAGTAGAAATTATATCATTATACAATTAATCAGTTTTCTTTCACAATGGCACAATGGGGTGCCCTCTTTAACTCAACAGAGTAACCAGCTCACCAACAGTATCTAGAAAAGAGGAAAGTCACAGAATGGAAAAATAGACACAAAAAGCTATGGAGAAGAGAGACTGAAACAGACAAAGGCGGTTGTACTATAAAAGAAAGCGAGAAATGGAAAGGGAAATGTCAGCAATCTAAGGTTAAAAGAGAAAAGATCAGGATATAAAAAGATGTAGAAGTCTCTTATGAAAAAAAAAAAAAAAAAGGGAGGGGACCAGTGAAGAGATAGAAATCATGACCAGAGTCGAAGCTTGAAAACGCAGGGCAACACACAAAGAGAAGCTGTAATAGCAGAGCCATTCACTCAATCATTCATTTCACTCATTCATTTAATGCCTAACATATGAAGGGTACTTTGTGGAGCTTTGAGAGACACAAAAATGACTAAGACAGGACCCCTGCCCTCAAAGAGCCCAGCTGTTCCAAATATTCTCATTTTGGTATGCTCCAATTTTTAATGTAATTTTAATTATTGTTGTCACACCTTAGCTAATATTTTCATACTCAACATGTACTTCCAGAAATTGCAGCAACTATACCATCTATAAAAGAGGGTAATCTTGGCAGGGAGCGGCGGCTCACACCTGTAATCCCAGCACTTTGGGAGGCTGAGATGGGTGGATCACGAGGTCAGGAGATCGAGACCATCCTGCCCAACATGGTGAAACTCCGTCTCTACTAAAAATGCAAAAATTAGCCAGGCATGGTGGTGTGCACCTGTATTCCCAGTTACTCAGGAGGCTGAGGCAGGAGAATCGCTTGAACCCGGAAGGTGGAGGTTGCAGTGAGCCGAGATCATGCCACTGCACTCCAGTCTGGGCAGCAGAGCGAGACTCTGTCTCGAAAAAAAAAAAAAAAAATGAGGGTAATCTTAAATGGATGGCAGCTGCCATACAGAATGAGTTCATTCGTTGTGGAACGGAAACATGTTTACATTTCTGATATGCTGATAGTATATAATGCAGTATTGTGATGTGGTTCTCTGTATATATAGATGCTGTCTATACTTTTTTTGGATACAGCACACTCCACATCATTCTATTTTATTTTTATCATCCCATTCCAGAGAGGAGGCAAAGGACAAGGAAGTCTAAAGGATGTGGAAAGACAAATAAGGAAGTTAAAAAACAGGTTTTCATTTTCTTTACAATTTCCCAGAGGGCTTCTATGACAAAAAGCTGTACTGAACAACGGAATGCGTATTTGTCATAGAGTAGCTGAGAGTGAATTCTAGGTAAACATACAAGGGAGAGGCTCCTAGACAGATACCATTGCCTAGTACCTTTCATTTAAAAGATACCTAGTGATATATGACTTGGGAAAACCAGAAATTGACCTCCCAGCCTGCCTCAGTATATGGTCTTTGCTCTTACCAAGGTTGGCTTGCTCCCTGAAAAGACCTGAAAATTCAAGTTTGAAAAGGTGTTTCATATACCTAATTTAGAACACACCCCTCCTAGATCTATAAGAGTAGGTGAGAAGCATAGAAATGAACACCTATTATTTTGAATGCTCATCTTCTGATTCCTTTAATGCACTGTCCCGCCCTTTACCCTCTCCCCAAATCTTTGTGGTTCTTTTGGGATTTCAATTGAGGTGCCCCATCTCTCCGCCAGAGATAGGAATGTGACTCAATCTAACCAATCAAAATCTTCTGGGGGAAGTGTATGAATCTGCAGTTAGAGAGAAGGCTTTCCGAGATCTTGGGCACTTAAATTCACATAAGTCTGAAGCTGCTTAGAGATATTTCTTCCCCCACCACAAAGACTGTGACTGAAGAAAAGATGAAGACCACATGGAGAAGAGGAGGACTGTGAGGGGGGTGAGAGCAGAGGCGAATTTATCCTGAAGCTACTACATCTTAAGCTTACAGGTCTTTCTCTCTTTTTTTTTTTTTTTTTCCCAGACGGAGTCTCGCTTTGTCGCCTAGGCTGGAGTGCAGTGGCGCAATCTTGGCTCACTGCAAGCTCCGCCTCCCAGGTTCATGCCATTCTTCTGCCTCAGCCTCCCGAGTAGCTGGGACTACAGGCGCCCACCACCACGCCCGGCTAATTTTTTGTATTTTTTAGCAGAGACGGGGTTTCACCGTGTTAGCCAGGATGGACTCCATCTCCTGACCTCATGATCCGCCGGCCTTGGCCTCCCAAAGTGCTGGGATTACAGGCATGAGCCACCATGCCCGGCCCAGGTCTTTCTCTAGCGATGTGTTCATATGGTCATTTATAATCTTCTTATAGAGAAGGCTCTCCAAACTGTATGAGCTTTGGGCCACAAAATCCTAGATTCACCCCTGGGAGAGACAGTTGTGAAGATACAATAAGGCACACATAGCCACCCATAACAGAAGCCAGTGTCACCCCACTGGACCTGCAATTATGTGAGCCAATATTCACCCTTTCTTTTTATCTTGGGATAATCCAAATTTGGTTTTACCCACTTACAAAGGGAAGAAACCGGAGATTTTAAAGATAGAAATAAAGTCATGGCTCGTAACTTGCTGGCAGGAAAAAATGAGAACCAATGCTGTTTTTGACTTTCAGAGTATCTATCATAAGCTATCATTTTGTTTTTGTCCGCATTTCAGTATGTGGTTTAAAAGGAAGTTCCAACATCATATTTGTAACTAGTTATAAGGAACCGGCAGGGAACAGCCTCCAGACATTTTTCAAATATATTTTTCCTTTAACTGGCTATAAAGGACAATAAGGATTAAGTTGGCACCACAAAAAGTCGCATTTAATGATACCCTTTTGTGTGTTACCCATTTACCAAACATGGATTTTTATTTCTGCATTCTATAGAATACTTATTCGCCACTGAGAGTTCCATTTAAATTCTTTGCATGCACACACACACACACACACACACACACCCTTCCACCACCACTACCACCACCATCATTTTCATCATCATGTGATTTCAGAAGAGCAGTCATGTCTACAGTAAAGGTATTTGAGAGCTAAACAAAGCCTCCTGGCTAGAGATCCTGGTATCTTCCTTTAAACCCAGATCATTCATGGTATGGGTTCCCTGCAGAGCACTGGTTGTGGCCCCACCAAGCACTGCCATTTCCAGCACTGTCAGTTTCTTTAACCTTCAAGAGAACACAGAAGAGTCATTCAAAGCCAGCAAGTGAAGAGATGTCCTGGCAGTCTAATTTCAAACAGGCCTCATACCAGAGTCTTTTTTATGGTTTTTAAAAGAAGTATTTTATGCTGCTCTGATGAAAACCTCTAACAGTAGTAGCTTCTGTCTGACAAATACCATAGAGAATGAAACAATAAGTCTGAAGCAAAGGGAGGGGGTAAAATTATTTTTGTTTCAATAGCCAACACACAATGAAAACAAGAAACTATAGAGGTTTAAAGAATAACCGATATTTATTCTGGTAAAGACTTTTCTCATATCAGCACTTTACCACTGTAAGATGCTGACAATAATTATGTGAATGTTGCTATAAAAAAATTAAATCTCCCATCTCATGGGTTTAAAGGTGTTTCCGCCTCTGCCTTACACACACACACACATACACACACACACACACACGTACACACACATATTTCAGGTACCTCTGTCAGGATCTCCCAACTCAATTATACTGCATGGAGGAAAAATATGTATACTACTACTACTAGAATAAGAATAAACTAGTAAACAAACAAATAGAATACAATGTAAGCTGCAGTACATGTAATCTGAAGGCCTGAAGCTCATGTGTGCTAGGTTTTTGATTGAGCAGTGGTGGGGGTAAACGTGGCACAGCAGTTATCAGCCTGGACTGTGGAATCCGATCATACCGGGAAATGAATCCTGGCTTACTCATTGAGTAACCTGGTAACTGAACCTCCCTGAGGCCCAGGTTATTCATCAACAAACTGATGACAGTTATCCCATGGGGTTATTATAGGGATTAAGTGAGAAAATGTTATATAAAGGTGAGGAGTGGCAGAATATGCCACCCCAAAATATGCCACTTTGGCATGAGGATTATTTTGAGCTGAAGGCAGTTGAGAAGAAGCAGATATGAGAGAAGCTCTCTGTCTTCCCCCTATTTGCCACAAAACAGGATATAGATTTATAAAGGTGCCCTCCCCACCTATCAGGAAAGAAAAAGTTAATCATCAGAGATAACTCTAGATATTCACTAGCCAGAAGAGACACCAGAGGAATCTATGTAACAAGCTTTACTAACTAGCCCTTCCATTAGTTCCCCCATATATTTACCTTCTCACAATTTGCAGAAACTCAAAGTCCTTTCCTTTGTCTTACCATTTCTCTAAAAATTTATTGCTCTTTTTTAAAAAGCTATATAAGGTCACATTTTAATCACCCCTTTGAGTCACTCATCACTGGGTACTTCCATGTGTATGTGCAAGTACATGTTAATAAACTTCTGTTTTTTCTTATGTTAATCTGTCATTTTTCACTCTACTTTAGAGGGCCACAGCTGGAGAACCTAGGAGGGTAGAGGGAAATAGATTTAGTACAAAGAGCTTAGTGCAGAGCCTGTTTCACAATGAAGCACTCTGTAGGTGAAAGCATTGCCATGATTAATGATTGCCACAAAGCATCCATGTTGGTTAAACAGACACCATGCCTAAGGGCATATAATGACTCTGAGGAAAGCTAGACTTGAAGAAAACACGACTTGCCCAGCCAAGTACCTTGGTCAAAACACATATTTGTTTGACTCTATAGTGTTGAGACTTGAGTATCTAATATACAGATGAATGAGCCAGTACAGAATTTGAAATTTCAACAAAAAGGCAAGTATAATCTGCCTGATAATAATAAGCAACTTGTAAATCTTTGAATGGATGGGCTTGCCTGTTTTCACCCATGCTACTCAAACTGTGAACCACAGAACAGAACATCAGTTTCACCTGGGGACTTCATAGAAATGCTGAGTCTTAGGTCTCACCCTAGACCTTCTGTATTCCAGAATTATAATAAGATCTCCAGATGATTTGTAGGCATATTAAAGTCTGAAAAGCACTGCTGTGGACCACAAAATTTAATGTACTGCTTATCCCACTTTGGGTGTGTTTCTGTGATCTTTACAACTTAATAAACCACCCCCAAAAGTTAGTGACTTTAAACAACAATTTATTTGTCCTGCTTCTTCAATATTGGCAGGGCTCAGTGAGACGGCTCATCTCTGCTCCATATGGTGTTGACTGGGGTAGTTCAACACAGACTGCAAGATGCAAGCTGGCTTCCCTTCATTCACATGCCCTTGGCTGACCTGGCTGGGACAGTTGGGGGCTGGCTGGGCCTCTCTCCATGTCTTTGTTGTTCTTCAGGACCTCTTTCCAAATGGAGTGGTCTCTCTCCTGCAGCATGATCAGACTTCTTTAAGTGATGGCACCAGGCTCCAAGACAGTGAAGTCAGCCATCTTAAAGTCTAAATCTGGAACTGGCACTGTGCATTTCTGCCATTTTCTGTTGATCGAATTGAGTCAAAAGGCAAACAAATGTCAAGGGGAGAAAAAAGACTTTATTTCTTGACGGGAGAAGAGGTCTGCACAGACAGTGTGGAAGGATTTGTTAGCAACAGTTTTTGCAGACAAGCTACCACAGAGTATCTGTTACTTTTCACTTTCTTCATCTCTCTGTTCTCCTGATTGGTCAAACAGCCACTTCATTTCAATTACACAACTATATGCGAGGTCCCATTGGGAGCATAAGGAATTTTAAGACATGATATCTCCCATCAAGGAGCTTGTTATAATACAATTGGTAAAATAAGGAATACATATCTTGAAATTTTAATAACAATAAAATACTGTAATAATAAAATATTTAAGTAGCAGTGCCAGATAATAACAGAAATGATGTCCTAAGGCCATGAACCATTTATTTAATTAATCGTGCACACAATAACCATCCTGAGTGTTCAGAAGAGAGAATGGAAGGGGAGGAGAATGGCCATGGAAGGACGGTTGTGCAGTGAGTAAGACTTGCATAGGAAAATGAGTAAGGTTTTCAAAAAAAAAAAAGGTCCAATGAAATACACACAAAGGATACAACAGAATCAAGGAGCCAAGGGAATGGGGTCATAGGGACACAAGGCCATGAATGAGTATCTGCATGTTCTTCAATGATGATTATCAATTCAATGTTCCTGAAAGAATTTCCTGCCTCATAACGTCCACCTTTACTTCTCCCTTTAGATATGTTCATAAGCTATTTGTGGAATCCCCACCAGCAATATAACCTTGTATTAATAATGAAGGGTTTTTATGAACCTTATAAATTTTATTATACCTTGTAGAGAGGGTGGGGGAACAAACAAACAGAAATGTAGGCATTGCCAAATGGCAACTTGTAAACTTCACTATTCATTGTGTAGGAACTAACACTTTTGGTATTGTTAAGTAGCCTTGTAAATTTCACTCTCCCTTAGAAAATAAAAATGGAATGAAAGGTGCTGCTTAGAAGAAACGTATAAATTTCAATCTCCACTGCAGGAAAATAAGCTCTGATTACACTACATAGTTCATACACCTCAATGTTCCGAACACTTGTTTTTTTACAGATTCATGTATAATGACTTGGTTTTCCAACAACAGAGAGTGAAATTTACAAGTTGTTATTTAACTTTTTTAGGAGTGTATTTTTCTTCCATGTCTTTTTTTTCTTCTTTGCCCCTACTCACACCAGAAACCTAATATGAGCAATGGGATTTCTGAATAGTACCATACATTAATTCCTTCAATAACAATGATTAAAACATTTTAAACATTGTTCTCAGGGCCTCCTGATACCACATATAAAAGTGGGGAATGACACAGCTTTTGGCCACACAGTTCAAAAAATTGCTCTTTACCTTGTTGGGGAAGAAGAGGGCTTATTAAAAGTTTATAATAAGCAGTATTACTAGTATTTAACTTCTATTTGTTGTTGAAAAGAACTGAGCCTATAATTTCAGAGGCTTCCGAGCATTTTCATAAATATACCCATTAGATATTCAATAGCCAGTGGATTTGAATGATTTTGCCATTTATTCGAACAGATAGCTGTCCTGGACAGGAAGGATAGAAGCATTGGAAGAAAGTGTTAGAACTACATTTCCATAAAGTCATGACAAGAAATAAAGAAAGAAGGGGAGTCACCACCTCAATACTAGAAGTGTCAGCACAATGATATCCTCATAAAAGGTGTTCTAAAAGAAACTTTTAGGTGTTCTAAAATAAAGTTATAAATGCCATACCAAGAAATACTGTCAAAACAAAAGTCAAGTACAATACAGCCCAGAAAGAACCAAATACATCTTTACATCAGGGAGTAAAAATATACATAGATATAATATCCACAATTGTCTTAATTTATAGCTTTTAAATAGATAATATACATACAAAGTGAAAAATTGAAACCACACCAAAGTACGTTGAAAAATGTCTTCCCACTCATGCTGTTAATGATCTCTGTACCCTCTTCAACATATGCATATGTGAACATATACACACATTTTAAATTTCCATGACTACAAATAATGGCATATTCTAACCCATTTTTCACTTAAAAATGTCATAGAGATGGTTCTGTATAGACCCATTTTTGTGATGGTCTAATTTTATTACAAAGATTATAAAGTATAGATATTCCATAATTTATTTACAGATTCTCCTATTGCTTGGACACTTAAGCTGTTTTTAATCATTTGTTGTTAAATGCAATGCCATGGCGAATATTTTTGTACATAGAATTTTGTGCACCTGCATGACTATAGTTCTAAAATAAATTACTAGAAATGGAACTGCTAGGTCAAAAGGTATATATGCATTCTATTTTGATAGTTAGAGCCAAATAGCTTTCCAAAGACAATATAACAATTCATGCTTCTATTCATGATACCAATACATCTTGCATTGAAGGAATTCCAAAACAACCAAAAGTTCATCATTTTTCTGCCAACTGATCCTTTCTCTCTTAAAAAGAGTCGGGGTAAAAATCACCCATTTTTGCTTATAACCATAGGCAGTTATAATCATTATTGCCCAAGATTCAAGGCCATTTCATTACCCACTGCATCACCATCCTCACTGTGGTATAATTCTAACTGGTCAGAGAGACCTTTAATTTGCAGACCTTCTCAGAAGACAGATTATCTGCATTCTGCAGACATCTGCAGAAAGCCATCCACAAGTGCATATTTCATGGCTGAATATTTTTACATAACATCAGCTGGAACCCATCGTTCCAGCATTCTCGCCAAGTGTCACAACCTGCTCTATTATATCAATAAGCAGTTTCAATTAGTCATTTTCTTCCCATGGTGACGACAGCTATAATAGCATGCAGTAGTCTGATGAAGTTTGTAATATAAAGTGGAGATGGGAGTATTAAAAGGAAGAGAATACAGAATTAGAATCGCATAAAAAAATCCATCTCCCAAATAGTCATTTGGGGAAATGACAACATTTTTGAAACAGTGTTCAAGAATGAATACAAAAATGCAATTACTTTTGAAAAGTCAGATAAATAAATTTGCCATGGGAACACATTCTTGCCCCAGATAGAACCCTAGTTTTTACTGGCTAATTAGTCATTAAGCACCATCTCAAAAACAACTGTATATGAAAGAATATTGGGTAAATAGAAATAAAACTTAAGGCTTAACAGAATTGTAAAATGAAAATAAATGCCAACAGAGAATACTACTTTGAAAGCATTGGATAGTAGTAAATAAATTAGAAGGAATGACACAGTTGCTCTGCCCTCAAAATTTATCCCTAATCTGTTACTACTTCCTACTTTGTGTGCTAAGATTACCAGGCTCCAAACCATGCTTGCCTTCCCTGGCACACAGCCAGAGCCTTCTGACTGGCCACCTGCCTCTCTTCTTGTCCCCTTCAGCCTCTTCTTTACACAGCAGCTGAAATGATTTTCTAAAAAATATAAATCAGATCGCATCATTTCCTTCTTTTCAGCCCTCTACTGGTTTTGCTCATAATTAAAATCTAAAATCTTTGCCATGGCTGGCAAGGCCACATATGGAATCCATCTACCACTTCTTTCTCCTCCCTACACTGGCCTCTATCAAGCACATTCCCAACTCAGACCCTCAGGTCTTGCTGCTTCCAGCTAAAAGGTTAGACCCCCAAATATTCAGATGTTTTTCCTCCTTCACTTTATTCAGGTATGTCCTCAAATGTCACCTCATCACAAAGGATTATTTGACCACCCTATCTAAAAAATAACCCAAAACTCTTTATCAAATGCATGCAGATTTACTTTCCTTATATCATTTAACTCCACTCGACATTATATGATGTAGTTAGATGTATATCTGTTCATTCTGTATATCCCCTACTAGAATGTAACTTCAATGAAGATGAGAAGAAGCAAAGATAAAAAAGTGCATCCCAACCAGACAGAAAAACATACTATGACTGTGAACTACACCCATTGATATGGTTTGGTTGTGTGCCCACCTAAATCTCATCTTGAATTGTAACTCTTATAATTCCCACATGTCAAAGGCAGGGCTAGGTGGAGATAATTGAATCATGGGGGCACTTCCACCCATACTGTTCTCGTGGTAGTAATTAAGTTTCACAATATTTGATGGTTTTATAAATGGGAGTTCCCCTGCGCAAGCTCTCTTGCCTGCAGCCATGTAAGGCATGCCTTTCTCCTCCTTTGCCTTGCACCATGATTGTGAGGCTTCCCCAGCCAGGTGAAACTGTGAGTCCATTAAACCTCTTTTTCTTTATAAATTAGCCAGTCTTTACTAGCAGTGTGAGAACTGACTAATACACCCATAGTTGAGAAAACAGCATCTACCTGACTTTGGTTAAATTCATTCAACTCAGCAAACATTTACTAAACTCTTATTAGATAAGAAATTCCAGAAACATAGGTCCCAGTGTCTATCTGTTATATAGTTTAGAGACAAAAACTTGCATATAATTTGGGAGGCAAGACATGAAATATAAACTACTGAAATGACAACTAAAAAGAGTTAATGATCAAAAGCCAACATGAGTAGGGCAGGCAATAAGTGTCAGAGAGTTCTGAGGAGGAGAGATTTGTGTAGGCTGAGAGGGTGAAGGAATGGTTCAAAAAGAAGGCTGGAGAAGATCTGGGAAAGGAAACCAGGAGGAAGAAGGCATTTGGGGTGAGAGCACAGCAGGGGCAGACACATAGATTATACCAGTGTTCCCCAAACATCAAAGCATGGAACCTTGGTGTTACATGGTCCACTGACAGGACAAACCAAAGAATAATAAAGTTATATCTCTTTCCATTTGATTTTAATCTTTCTAATACATGCAATGAAAAAGTATTAATTCAGCATTAATTGTTAAACACCTTAGTAACACTTGCCAATCTGAATGGCATTATTTTACTTTTTATTTTTTGTACTTCTCTTTAAACTTTTACTCCCTATTTATGATAAGGGCTTTTATTTATGGAATAACATATAATTTTATTCATATGTAAACTTCTATGGGTAAAAAAAAGGGAGTTGCTTTAATGGCAGTCAATCATGGACTAAATATCTGGGTCACTACCTACCCAGACACAAAGCAGAGTCAACCTTTAAAGTAAGCAAAGG